>NW_019805500.1:160138-320276 GCF_000001405.40 Homo sapiens | reverse complement strand
AGGAGTTTGAGACCAGCCAGGCCAACATGGTGAAACCCTGTCTCTACTAAAAATACAAAAATTACCCCGGCATGGTGGCACATGCCTGTAATCCCAGCTACTCGAGAGGATGAGGCAGGAGAATCGCTTGAACCCAGGAAGCAGAGGTTGCAGGGAGCTGAGATCGTGCCACTGCCCTTCAGCCTGGGCGAGAGTTAGACTCATCTGAAGAAAAAAAAAAAAAAAGAGTAAGCAGATCCCAGGATGGAACCACATGGAGTTCTTGTCATCATAATCCTTGCTTTTCCCACTATAGTTTTCTGGTTTTTCTCTGCATCGTCTTGAGTGTCTGGAAGTTCATTATATACATCTGTAGACTCAGTTAACAAATTCATGGAACCAGGTTCTGAATTCCAGTAGTGCTTCGGATCTGCATAACTGACCCCAGGATTGCATGACGTTGCATTTTGCTAAAGCACAAACATCATCTTTGCATGCGGGAAACAGGCCTTTAGCTGGTTGGAGAACCAAGCCAGGACCTTCTACCCTGCAGGAGGAAAGGAGGAAGGATTCATTGGTGTGGGAGCCTTGGTAATACTTAGGAAGTGATTTACAAAACAAAACACAATCTTGGCCTTGTGATGAAATGTACTCCTCCCCCGAAAAGCCATGTGCTGGTGTTGACTTTGGAAGTCTAGCTGTTTGAACAGGAGCTGCTGATTCAGCAGAGTGTCCTGTGATGAGGCTGTGTAGCTCAGTGGTTAAGAGCCCCGGCTTTGGAGTGAGATCAAGTAAACCCAGGGTCCAGTTCCCATTCTCTCTTTCATTTCTTCCTTGAGTATTTATTCAGCATCCGCTATGTGTTGGTATCACGTCAGGCATTAGATATACTGGGAATCTGGAAATCTGAAAATCCAAGGTCTCAGCTTCACCGACCTTAGCAAGAAGACACAGATGATAAACACATAAGGAAATACATAAGAACGCTTCAAACAAGTGAAAAGGTGCTGTGATAATGGTTAAACAGGGTGACAAGACGGGTAATGACTGGTGTGGGGTAGGTAATTAACTGATCCCAGCATTGAGCAATGGGAATAAACTAGACAGATATTCAAGGATGCAGGGAAAAGCATTCCAGGCAGAGGAATAGTGTGTGCAAATGCCCTGAGGCAGGAATGAGCTCGCCGTGGTGGCTGAAACATATTGATGAGTGAGAGGAAGAGAGGGGACATTACAGAGGTGGGCAGTAGCTAGATCCTGTAGGACATCATAGGCTATGATAAGGAGCTTGGATTTTATTCTGATTACAAAAGGAAACATGATTTAACATGTGAGGGTAAAGAGATACTGCATACCATAAATACTAGCTCCTGATGCCTTTTTTTTTTTTTTTTTTTTTTTTTTTTTGAGACAGCGTCTCCCACCGTGGCCCAGGCTGGAGTGCAGTGGTGCAATTATGGCTCACCGCAAACTCGATCTCCTGGGCTCAAGCCATCCTCCCACCTCAGCCTCCCAGGTACCTGGGACAGACACATGCTACCATACCCAGCTAAGTTTTGTATTTTGTGTAGTGATGAGTTACTACTCTGTTACCCAGGCTGGTCTTGAACTCCTGGGCTCAAACCACCCTCCCGCCTAGGCCTCCCAAAGTGCTGAGATGACAGGCATGAGCCACTGTGCCTCATCTGATGCCATTATTTATTGTGGTTAATTTTAATTTGGGCATTCATTTACCAGTCTTCCAGGGCATCCGTCAAGAATGTCAAAGGTTGCCTCACCTCTCTAATTGTAAATGACCCAAAGAGAAGTTACAGTCAAGGAACCATGAAGAAATGGCAGGAGGCAAACACCTAGATGGGGAAACAGATCACAGTTTATTGCTGCAACATTGAGAGCTCCATAAAATCTGCCTGGGGGCCGGGCACGGTGGCTCACGCCTGTAATCCCAGCACTTTGGGAGGCCGAGGCGGGCGGATCACGAGGTCAGGAGATCGAGACCATCCTGGCTAACACGGTGAAACTCCGTCTCTACTAAAAATACAAAAAATTAGCCGGGCGAGGTGGCGGGCGCCTGTAGTCCCAGCTACTCGGGAGGCTGAGGCAGGATAATGGCGTGAACCCCAGGTGACGGAGCCTGCAGTGAGCCGAGATTGCGCCACTGCACTCCAGCCTGGGCGACAGAGCGAGACTCCGTCTCAAAAAAAAAAAAAAAATCTGCCTGTGGTTTCAAAGTGAGCTCTTTCAGGTAACAGGGTCTGTGTAAAATTAGCTTTACCACCAAATCCTGCTGTCTGAGCCAGCCAAGCAGAAGTAAAACAGAGCCTCAAGAGCAGGGATCCTGGCTGGGTGCTGTGGCTCACGCCTGTAATCCCAGCACTTTGGGAGGCTGAGGCAGGAGGATCACTTGAGGCCAGGAGTTCAAGACCAACCTGGACAACATAGTGAAACCTTGTCTCTACAAAAGTTAACAAAATCATCCAGGCATGGTGGCACGTGCCTGTAGTCCCAACTACTTGGGAGGCTGAGGTGGGAGAATCACTTGAGCCCAGGAGGTAGAGGCTGCAGTGAGCAGAGATCACACCACAGCACTCCAGCCGGGGCGACAGAGAGAGACTGTCTCAAAAATAAATAAATAAATAAATAAAAAGCAGGGGGTCCTAACTCTTGTTTCATCTCTCTGAATTCCCCAAATCTGCATGGAGGGGGAGGCATGGTGGTTTTTCTCCCCATCTCCACTGTTGGGCGAAACTCTGTAAATACATGCTGCCAATAACCTACAGTCCCCAGGGCTCCGATGACATGTGTAAATATCTCTTCTCCATGTGGTGTTCAAAGACTGAGTCAATAAGCTTAATTTCCTGTGGATTCCACTGTTTGGTTCCACAGCCTAGAAAATTGATCAGATAAAAGCTGTGCGCTTCGGGGAGAATAGTTTGTGTTGTGAGTGGTGAAAGGTGGAGGCAGTGTGGCCAACCAGGTGGGGGCTATTTCCTAGTGCCCCTTTGCTGTTGTACTCTGTTGGGATCTGACCCAGGTGCGGCTGCAATTTCCTAAGCTTCTCCTGGCGTCTTCTAGGGACTTTACAGATCATCTTCATGTTCTCGTTGGCCCTTTGTCAAAGCGCTAAGATCTTGGTTTAATGCAGTGGTAAGGACCTCCTACCAGGGACTTGCCGAGGCATGATCAGGGCAAGGTCATCTAATTTGAGTTCAGAGAAACTGGGTATAGGGTCAAAGGGCCTAGCCTTGGAGTCAGACTTGAGATCTACCACCAGGTGACCTTGGGCAAGTTGCCTGAGCCTCTCTGAGCTTCCGTTTTCTAACCTGAAGCTAATTCTGTGTCTGCCTCATGGGGTCCATTTGTTCGCCATAATTTATTAAGCACCTACTTTGTGCCAAGTCTTATGCTATGGGGCTGGAGGAAATGCAATGGGAATAGACTTATCTTTGACTTCCTAGAATAATAGACATCCTGGTAGAGAGACGGGACAAAACCAACAACCAACACATAGGTACAGTGTTACAATAACGATCTGCTGTGACTAGTGCTGAGATAGAAGCAGAAGATTCTAGAATTGAGAGTTAGGGGAGCGAGAATTCTCTACTTGTGATAGGGGTTTGGGAAATGGCTCTCCAGGAAACTGACATTTCAGCTGAGATGCAAAGGATGAGGCTGGGGAGAAGAACATGCCAGTAGGGGGAAGAACATGTGCAAATGCACAAGGTGACAAAGAGCATCCACAAGGCAGGAGATAGATGGAGACCAGGGTAGCTGGAGGGAGGGAAAGAGAAATGAGTTTGGGTTGAATGGAGAGGCAGGTTCAGGACATGCTGAGCTTTGTAAGTCAGTCCTAGGAAGGAGAATGGATTTTCTCCTAAGGACTTGCCTGGCTTTTTTCTGTAGTCTCTAAATCTTCCTCCCTCCTTCTGCCTTTTCCCCAGGTGGGCCATCCCCAGCATAGCTCCCAGAGCTGCTCTTTTAAATCATGAGTCAGATGAAGTCTTGACTCTGCGAATAACCCGCCACGTGGCTCCTCATGCCTCTTTCAGTATAAGCCAAGGCCTGACCTTGGCCCACCAGGCTGCATTTGACCTGGGTACCTCTCACCTCTCTACTTTATCACCTCCGCCACCTACACACCTGCCTGACAAACTCGTACCAGGACTGAACTTTTCTCTTTTTCTTTGGCTAAGCTTCTAGCTGTCAAGTTGTATATGAGTTATATAATACAAAGCATCCCTTTTTGCTTTGGCCACCAGGGAGCTCAGAGCCTCATCTAATGTTAATCATAATTATTCTGTTAGCTTTGGTTTGTCAAGTTTCTCCTCTATCACTTTGATTATTGATTTTTCTCTCACTAGTGTAGTGGTTTTCTTGTTTCTGTGTCTTTCATCACAGGCCTTTCTTTCCTGGAATGGGAGGGGATAGATAATAATTTGGTTTCGCATGTTGCTCTCAGCTGATTGTGCATACATTTTCACCCAGTATGCGTTCTCTTGGATAGCAGATGGATGGATGGCTGCCATTCATGGAGGAGCAATTGGTGGGAGTCAGAGAGGTACTTCTCATGCTCCAAGGGAAGCCTGTAGTGCATATTCTAGGACCTGGAATCTAGTGGTTTCTAGAGGGCTCTAAAAAAATGACTGACTCGGCAACGTGCAGCGGGGTGGGCTGACTAAGCACTTTTCCTCCCTCTCTGCAGCACCCCAAGGGTGCTGTTTTGTGGGTGATGAGTGGGCCTGGGGAGGCTCCTGAAGTCAGGGCCCACCAGGTTCCCTGCTGGGGAGCCAGTGACGTGTTAACTTAAGGGCCACACACAAGGGGCCTGTTGCTTCTAATCTTTCTCTAGGATCTCCTGATCTTGAGATTTTGGAGCTCCTGAAATGATTTCTGGACAAGAGTCGACTTTAGAATTCAAAGCTAGTAACTAGTGAGTCGACAAGTTTGGTTTGGCCTGCAGAGTGTCTTAAAACAATTGAGTTCTAATGTTCTTTTGGCTGGACAGACCCTCTCCAGTGTCCTGACCCTCCCAGGGTGGATTGATTTATCACTGATGACCTTGACACATGGCTGAGGCCTGGCCTGTCTGAGGCAACTGCATTTTGAATCTCTGGACAGAATAGAAATAAAAGCCCCTTAATTATATCCCCTTATTCCCATTCTCCCTGTAGGTTCATAGTTTGGGCTGGATCCTTCCAGCCTAATCCACACTTTTCAGCTGAGGATACTGAGTCTTGGAGAGGTTAACAGATGAGGCTGTTTCTTGGGTCCTAACCACAGTCGCTCCATGTCTGGGCAGAACCACTCCCAATGCTATCATGGATTCCTATGAACTTTTTTTTTTTTTTAATGGTTTGGATGTTTTCCCCTCTAATGAAAGGAAACCTTTTCTTGCCTAAGTTACACAGACAGCATTATAGCAGCATCAATGCTGTTGAAGGAAAGAATTCACCCACAGTCCCACGGATCTGGCTAGAAACCAAGCTGTGTGCATGGGTCTAAGCAGTCCCTGTCCACATGCATAGATCATCTCCACATATTTCTAAGCACAGGGAACATTCCCTTCCAAGGAGCCCAACACTCCATAAAAGTCAGCAGGAAAGGGGGGCCTTGTCTGGTAGGTCGCTGGCTGCCAAGGCTGGCTTGTGTGGGAGGCCTTTTTTGGTGGTGTTACAGCTTTACTGGATGTCCTGTCTGTCCCCTTCTCTCTCCCTCCTCCAGCCCCAGCAGCCAGGGGCCTGGAGGTTGGCGGAGGGCTGAGCAGCCCAGCTTCCTGCTTCCTGGCCTCACAAGCAGGCCTCTGTGAAGTTGCCAGGGCTCCAGGGGCAGGGGCTGAGGCTCAGAACTGCAGATTTTTGTCTAGTTCTGGTGTTGGCAGGCAGCCCAGGCCAGTCCCGAGAACATCACCAGACCAGAAACCTGAGAGCAGATGAGGCAGACAGGCACACCTTTGAGCTGGGATAGAGACTATCCAGGAGCCAACAAGGCTGGGGATCTGTGGCCATGGCCCTGGGCGGACATGCCCTCTCTCCCAGCTTCCCTGCTCAGCCCCGGCCAGGGGGAGCTTTTCCAAGAGGATCCGGTTCTTTGGGATGGGTCTGGAACCTACATTTGACACCTAGAAGTCCTTTTCAAATATGAGTACCCTCAGAAACATCTCTGATCCATGAGCGAGTTTGCACTAGTTACCAGAACTTGCCGGAGAAGTAACACTGCATAGTAGCTTAGAGCTAGATTCCCTGAATTCGAGCTCCTTGGACAAGTCACTTTATTCTGTCTTTATTCTGTCTGTGCTTCAGTTTTCCCATCTGCAAAATGGGATAATAGGATTGCTGTGAAGATTAAACAGTAAATAGAATCACGGATACACACATGAGTATGTTGAAAATGGGTGAAAACAAAAACAAAATCTGCAGTCCCGTTAACAGTATTGTACTGATGTGAATTGCCTGGTTTTAATATTGCACTGCAGTTACATAAGATGTCACCATTGGGGGAAGCTGGGTGAGGGAGTGCAGAACTCTGCTATCTTGGCAACCTCCTGTGAGTCTATAATTATTATTTTTTTAAGTTAGAAAGAAAAACATGTTAATGCGGGTAAGGCCCTGAGACAAGACCCCATACATGGTAAGCGCTACAGGAATGCCAGCCCTGATGATCATGAGGATTTCAGGGATGTTTCATTGAGTCCTTCACAGTACTATGCCAGCAGGGATCTTACAGGTAACAGGAGGCAGAACTTCTGTGATCTCCAGGCCCTACCCTTCCCCTGGATCTCCCTCCTACCTGGCCTGAGCTCTGGGCACAGCAGATGAGTCACCCCCTGGGCGTGCCTGGCTTCACGCCTGCTTCATTTGGCTTGGGCAGTGCTGTGTGTCTAGAACGCCCCTCTTCCTCTTGTCTGTCGGCAAGCTCTTTTTCATCCTCCAGCTCACACCTTGACTCTTCTAGAAGGCCTTTCTGGGCCTCAGACCTCTGCTTAAACCCCCATTGATATGGTTTGGTTGTGTCCCCACCCAAATCTCATCTTGAATTGTAGCTCCTATAATTCCCTCCCTCCATGGAGGGACCCAGTGGGAGATAACTGAATCATCGGGGCAGTTTCCCCTATATTGTTCTCATTGTAGTGAATAAGTCTCATGAGATCTGATGGTTTTATAAGGGGAAACCCCTTTTGCTTGGCTCTCATTTTCCTTTTGCCTGCTGCCATGTAAGACGTGCCTTTTGCCTTCCACCATGATTGTGCGGCCTCCCCAGCCACTTGGAACTGTGAGTTCATTAAACTTATTTTTCTTAATAAATTACCCAGTCTCGGGCATGCCTTTATCAGCAGTGTGAAAACAGACTAATACACACAAGGGGGAAAGGAAACTTTTTACTGCCTAAGTTGCACAAACAGCATGAAATCAGCATCAACGTTGTTGAAGAAGGAAGGAATTCACCCACAGTCCCATGGATCTGGCTGGAAACTAAGCTGTGTGCCTGGGTCTGAGCAGTAGGGCAGCTGTTCTCGAAGCGTGGTCCTGAACCAACAGCAGCTGCATCACATGGGAAATGGAAAGAAACGCACCTTCACCTGCCACCCCCAGACTCTTGGAATCACATACTGGGGGTGAAGGCAGGGCTCTAGCAATCTGTAGTTTAACAAATCTTCCAGATGATTCTGATGAGCAGGCTACTGAAGCCCATGAGCAGCCCACGAGGCTGCTCACATGAACCAGAGGACCTAGTTAAGATGCAGGTTCTAATTCAGCCCATCTGAGGTGGGGCCTGGGAGTCTGCATTTCTAACCAGCTCCTGAGTGCTGATACTGCTGGGCTCCTTGAGGCCAAGGTCCACATCTTCTACTCTGATGTAACCCCTTCTGCTACTGTGACAATAAGAGCTTGGTGACTTGCTGTTACAATTTAAACACCGGGTAAATTTGCAGCAGGTGATTATCCTGGGCTGAAGGCAAGGAAGGGAGCCCCATCTTCATCAAGTTTGGGGCTGGAAACAAGATGCGTGTGAGCTGGAAAGGAGGCAGAAGGAAGTTCACCTTTTTCTCCGTGCTCTGACACCATGCTGTGTTTTATTCTAATGGTGTCTGGGAATGGAGCTGTGGGACATGACCCCTGAAAGAAACCCTCTTTGTCTACACTCGGAACAAAGCTCTCTCTTCCTTCTCTCCTTTATTATTATTATTTTTGAGATGGAGTCTTGCTCTGTCATCCAGGCTAGAGTGCAGTGGCACGATCTCGGCTCACTGCAACCTCTGCCTCCTAGGTTCAAGTGATTCTCCTGCCTCAGCCTCCCTAGTAGCTAGGATTTCAGGTGTGTGCCACCACGCCTGGCTAATTTTTGTATTTTTAGTAGAGATGGGGTTTCGCCATGTTAGCCAGGCTGGTCTTGAACTCATGACCTCATGATCCACCTGCCCTGGCCTCCCAAAGTGCTGAGATTACAGGCATGAGCCACTGCGCCGGGCCTGCCTTTTCCCCATTTATGCACTTACTTATTCCACAGATGTTTACTGACCCTGAGTAGGAGGAGGGCACATTATTGAGCAGAAGATGCAATTCCTGCTCTCAGGCCACATCACTATCTGGTGGGGACAGATGCCAGTCACTGAGTGGGACTGTGATAAGTGAAATGGGATTAAATTCCCAGTGTACGGAGACTGTATGACTGTGAGTCTTGACCCAAAGGGAACAGGAGCCTTTCCCCGGGGAAGTGACATTTAAGCTGAAAGGAAGAAGTGTAAATGGAATGAAGATTAATTTAGCAAGAGGAAGTGGCATGTGCAAAGGTCCTGGTGTGAGTGAAAACCTGGTAATGGCTAAAGATACTGCCCAGAAGCAAGAGGGGAAAAGTAGGGCTGGAGGGAAGTGAATGAACCCAAGGGAGACTGAGGAATCAGGAAAGGATTTTAGCTGGGGAGGAAAAGGAAGGTGTTCAAGAAGTGTGCGGGCATTTTGTTGCAGCTCATTCCTGAAATCAGGTCCCAGAAGTTTCAATCTGATCCCATCTTTACAGGGATGATGTGTTCCCACTCCCAGCCTCCAAATTGAGCTGCCTTTGAGCACACACGGCATCTCTTCCCTGCCACCCCTGGCCCCTGGGGCCCCTACCCCCGTGACCTATGCATTTTATTTCACTCCCCACATAGCCTTTCTCACCATCCACCAAAAGGTTAAGTTCACAAGCAAGAAGCATGATTTTTCCACCACTAAGCC
Source organism: Homo sapiens (assembly GCF_000001405.40). NCBI lineage: Eukaryota > Metazoa > Chordata > Mammalia > Primates > Hominidae > Homo > Homo sapiens. The sequence goes on along the minus strand of NW_019805500.1, from coordinate 311,082 downwards.
CAGAACCACAAGCACACATCTTAACCCTGTTAATCTTCTTGACTGCAATGGCTCATTCGCAAAATAAAGGCATTAAACCATTTGGGACAAGAAGTGCTTCCAAAGAATCCCTTTGAAGGCAGAGGAATGAGATGCAGGTTCAGGGTTGTGGATGTTTAAGGCCATATCCACGTGAAATCTGCAGCGCTGGAAAAATAGGTTCTTGGAAAATTTCCCCTCTTAACAAGGCACAGCACAGACAGTACACTCTAGGAACACCCTCCTGTTTCAGAGAAACCAAGCTGATGCATGTCCATGAAGAGCCTCCCTCCCACCCGTTCATTATGGCTGAAGCAGCCCAGGCAAGCCAGAGGGCTTGCCCTACCCAGGTATGGGGTGGTCAGCGTTGATCCCTCTCCCCTCCATCCCTGCCTTCTTTCAACAAGTATTTGCTGAGTGAGGACCCACGGTGTGTCAGACACTATTTTAGACTAGCAACTCTCAACTGGGGGTAATTAGGCCTCCCCAAGGGACATTTGGCAATGTCCAGAGACATTTTTTTAGTTGTTACAACTACGGGGGACGGATGCTACTGGCATCTAGTGGGTAGAGCCAAGGATGCTGCTCAACATCCTACACTGCATAGGACAGCACTCACCCAAGACGGAATGATCCAGCCCAAAATGTCAGCAGTGTCAAGGTTGAGAAACTGTGTTGTAGACCCTTGCGTGTCTCTGAGCCGCCTTTCCACCTCTCCTACTTTGCATTAGGCGCATATCTTTCTAGCTCTCTCTGATTGCTAGGCTCTGGGCTAGACGTTTGTTTTTCCTTGAACCTTTTTTTTTTATTTTTATTTTTTGCTTTTGCTCACGTTTACGTTCCTCTTTTGATCTTTTGTCTCCATCAACCAAGATGTATACAGTATCCGCTATTTTGCGCCAGACACTGCGCTAAATGCTCTTTGTATTTTACTTCTAATCCTCATGACAATTAGAGGAGATAGATGTTATTTTCCTTGCAGAAAATAATAAATTTCATTTATTGGGCATCTACCATGTGTCAGGTACTGGGAAACCTATTGATTTCTAATCTTCATAGCAACTCTGACTAAATTAGGTTTTCTAATCCCATTTACCCTGAAACTGGGTCTTGGAGAAGAGTAGGGTATTGTTCAAGTTCACATGCCAAGGAAGTTCTAAAGAAGCTAGGGATTGTGGTGGTCTTTGGGTAGGAAAGCAAGTGTGGACCGAACCAGCTTGCAAGGGTGCAAATACAGTTTCCGTCTTTGAACCCAAACCACCCTAGAGAAAGGAAGAGAGAAGTGACCGTTCTTTGTAGATAGAGCTGTATCTTCACCTTACAGGGAGCTGGGTGAGGAGAGGAAAGGTTCTAAGGAGAAGGGAAGTAATCTCTTCATTCAGGGCCTGTCCTGTGCCTGGTGTTGGACTCTGTCCTTATTTAATCATCTCAGCACTTCTCCAAGTAACTTTTAAAGCAGGCTTAGTCAACTTGGACATGCTTTTGAGGCCCAAAGGGAGAAATCAGTTCCCTAAGAGCTGCTAACTTAAGTGGCAGGGTCCAGGGTGGAGCTCAGGTCTCCTGGTCTCTCACCCAACAGAAAGCTTACTGGCACCATCTTGGGAGGTTGGGGTTGTGGGATGTGTCTACAGGAACTGGACATACTTTTCAATTCTCCGTGCCCCTTTGCCATGTTACGAAGCCTTCAAGCTCTCTCACTCTGCTTTGGTTCATTGTAGATCTTGAGAAATGCCAACTGACTGACTGATGGACACACTGAGGGTATATCCCACCACCAGCATACACTGCAGATCATGGAGAGTGGGGAATGGATCTGCAGTCCATAGAATACCCAATAGCAAGTCTCTCTGACTATTTTTGAGACTCTTTATTTTAGAGACTTCCAGGCATCAGTCCCTCTGCAGACCCCAGCAGAGGAAGGTGGTGCACCTTTAACCCTTCACTGCCCTCTCCTTAGAGGCTGTGCTTACCCCTGCTGGGTTTTCTCTCCATGAGCAATTGCCCAGTTGAATTCCATTTATAGACTCTGCCTCCTGGGGTGCAGGAAGGCCCTGGGTATGGAAGCATTCCAAGCCCCGATCAATCCCTTCTTTTATTCAGGGGCAAAGTTACAAATGGGCCAGAGTCATTGGAAAGATTTTCCAGCTCACTGTGCAGAGAAGCCCTCTTATGAAAGATGTATTGATGAATCCCCTTGTACCAGGATGTTACTGGCCTCTTCAAGGCAGGAAATAAGTATCTGCTGGCTCTCTCTCTGCCATAAAAACTCTCTTTCAGATCAGATTTCCTCTGCACCCAAGCACATTTGATTTAAATCATTTCACTGCAAAATATAAATAAAATAGAGATGACTCCTGTAATGAAAAAGAGAAACACCTCAGTAATACAGTTTTGACTTCCAGAAAATAAGGCATTAAAACTGCAGACTCGGCCAGGCATGGTGGCTCATGCCTATAATCCCAACATTTTGGGAGGCCGAAGCGGGCCGATCACGAGGTCAGGAGTTCGAGACCAGCCTGACCAGCATGGTGAAACCTCATCTCTACTAAAATGTAAAAATTACTGGGCGTGGTGGTCTACACCTATAATCCCAGCTACTCAGGAGGCTGAGGCAGGAGAATTGCTTGAACCCGGGAGGCGGAGGTTACAGTGACCTGAGATAATGTCATTGCACTCTAGCCTGGGCAGTAGAGTGAGACTCCGTCTCAACAACAACAACAACAACAACAAAAACCCCACAAAACTGCAGGCTCATATAACTACCAGATTCTCAGGTCCATTTATTTCAGGTAGCACAAGTGAGTAACCGCCAGTACGTGCACCTCTACAGAGACTACACTCCCAAGTTCAGGCTTCAGCTCTGACTCACTCTAGCTGTGTGACCTTGGGCAAGTCACCCTGCCTCTCTGGGCCTCAGATTCTTCCTCTGCATAGTGAAGGGGCTGGAAGAGATGCCTCTAATACCCTTTTGACTTCATGAATGTAAGGACATTCAAGACTAGGAAACTCAAAATTCCCAAGGGGATATATTTCTAGGAATTTGGATGTTTAATCTTACCAAAGGATTCATGTCCTCATGAATGGGGTACCTTAAAGTTGTGACTTTTCATGTATATAAAAAGATTTTAAGAAATTTATTCATATCCAGTTTTTTGGAAGTCTGTCTGCTGCATAAAGTGAAACACACACGTATAGAGGAATTGTATCTTACTTAGACTTAGAGGGAATATATATATATATATATATCTTTTGTGACAGTCTCACTCTGTCACCCAGGCTGGAGTGCAGTGGTGTGATCTCAGCTCACTGCAGCCCCTGCCTCCTGGGTTCAAGCCATTCTCCTGCCTCAGCCTCCAGAGTAGCTTGGAGTATACACATGCGCGCCGCCTGCCTCGGCCTCCCAGAGCGCTGGGATTACAGGCGTGAGCCACTGTGCCTGGCTGACCTTAAGGCTTCAAAGTCAGTATATAGGGTGAAAATGGTGTGTAGCTCGAATTTTTCTCCTCTCATTTATTATCTGTCTCTTGTTCTCTCTCTCCCAATGTTCTCGCTCCTATTCTCTTGTTCTTTTTCCCTCTCCCAACCGCTTATATTTGCATTCTCCCAATCTGAGTACACACAGACTGTGGCTCCTAAGAGAAGAAAGCACTTGGTAAGTTACCCTGAAATTTCCACATACAGAGGGAGGGTAAAGAGCTTCGGCAGTCCTTTGGCACCCAGAGGCTCTCTGGGTTGGCTTTTTAATCCTGTCTCCTTTTCAGGGGTACCTCCTTCTGTTTGGGTCAGGGAAGGGACATCACAGCAGTTCTCAGCAGGTTCTCAGAGGGTACTGTCCCTTCCTGTCCTTAGCCAGAGGAGTGAGAGGATGAGTCAGACTCAGGTTAGAAGAAAGAAGTGACTGCCCCCACAGGGACTCCCCACCACGGCGGTGTCAGGGGAAGGGGAATCTGAACACAGGACTGACTGTTTCTAACATGTGTGGGCTCTTTTCATGTGGAAATAAAGTTCTCCGGAAGTCAGAGTCTGGGGTTTGCCGGGTCCTTATAGTTACAAATGCTTAGTCGAGCAATACTTCGTCTGTTTAATGCTGTTAAGAAAGAAGGTATTCACGTCTATAATCCCAGCACTTTGGGAGGCGGTGGTGGAGGGATCATGAGGTCAGGAGATCGAGACCACCCTGGCCAACATGGTGAAACCCTGTCTCTACTAAAAATACAAAAGTTAGCTGGGCGTGGTGGTGCATGCCTGTAATCCTAGCTACTCGGGAGGCTGAGGCAGAAGAATCGCTTGAACCCAGGAGGCGGAGGTTTCAGTGAGCCGAGATCGCACCACTGCACTCCAGCCTGGGTGACAGAGTGAGACTCCATCTCAAAAAAAAAAAAAAAAGAAGAAGAAGAAGGTATTCTGTATTATATGTAAATATTAAGAAAACTAAAGCTGCACACACATACACACAAACTCCATTCTGCTGTTCGCTCTTATCCAGAGGACATTTTGTTTTGGAAACTAGATAGGGAAAGTAGTGAGATTAGTTACTGTAGTCTTAGGCTCACATTGGACACATGAACTGGAATCTAAGTTGGAGAATGACTCCCATCCTGTCCTGGGTGGTCAAGACAAGGGGGCATCCTGATTTGGGGAACTGGGATGGCTTTGCAGTCAGCACTTTGCTGAACCTCTGTCGCCTCCTTTGTACAATAGGGAGATGATGCAGGCTCATCATCAGGAGTTAGTGAAATTAAACATGACCCCCGGCCCACAGTGGGCACCCTGCGGCACTGAGTGGTGCTATAAACATGCAAGGACTTCCAGATCATTCCTGTGCCATCTGGAAGCTGTCACCCTTTCTTTCTGGGCCTACAGCTGCAATCTTGGTGAGTTTGCCAAGAAACTTAGCATTGAAATGTCATAGGGTAGTGTTAAATTTTACTATCCAAACCCAAGGCCTCATCTGTGCCAAGTTGGGGGATATACAAATGAATAGATATATTTATCTTGAATGCTTTGAGAGTATTCAGAGAAAATAGGTTACCTTCCCAAGCAGCCTTACTCACCGTGGGCAAAGAAGTAACTGGTAGTGGTTTAACTGGTCCAGCAACTTTGGTCAGAGCCTGTTTGGTTCCCATGACTTTTTGTGGGAAAAAAAAAATCTTAACTGTGGATTTACCAGGTTGTTGACATATGACGCTTTTGGACGTAGGCTTACAGCAGGTTGAGGGCCAAGAAAACATGTCAGCTATTTCAAAGGAGCTGAGCTTGAAGAACTAGCTGAAATAAAACATGTTACAATCACTTTAACACCCTCCCCTGCGCGGTCCAAATGGTCCAAATCCCTGCAGCATTTTTTCGCAGCATGCTTATACCATCCACATACAGCATTTCTGTGACTGGAGGACAGTATTGTGTTGGCAACAGCTTTGGGGAGGAAGGAGGGGGAAAAAAAGACACACTGACAGAGATAGTCATCTTTGCACCTGCCCTTACCTGTGCCTGAAGCCAGAATTCCAGCACATCTGCTCCTCACCTGCCTCTGGTCTTTGATCAAAGGTCATTTTGGGAGGAATGCTATCCCAGCCATTGCTCTGAAAATTGCAAACTGCTGCTCTCCTCTGTTCCTCTGATCTACTTTTTTTTCCCTTCACCACGATGGTTATTACCAACTGACAGACTTTAAGGTGTTACTGCCTTCTTACCTTCCAACATAAGCATAAATTATGCCTTCTTACCTTCCAACGTTAGCATAAATTGATGTCTTATGAACTATCATATATATCTGCATGCACCTGTACACACACACACACACACGCACATGTATATACACACATGCATTGCTCACATATGTATTTTGTTCCTGTATCTTGTGTGTCTGCCACATCATTTGCTCTTAACAAATACAAATTAATAAATCATATGTACACAGTGTTTATAAGATAAGCCTCAGTTCCAGAAATGTCAAAATGATGGGAAAAAAAATCTTCATCTGAAAAATCAGGAGAATGTGGTCAAATGCCTGGATTGTCTAGATTGAGGTCCCATTGATCAACTAATCATACCTGTTTCTAGAATCAGAGTGAAAAGGCTGAATGTGTTTTAAAGACAGACATGTGGCGTGAAATGATTCCTCCTCTTACTCCCAGCCATTGTAATATCATTAGTAATGAAAATGTAAAAGGATTGTAGGTGTCTGTGTTCTGGGCTTATTTCTTAGAGCTTTTCCTAGAACCCTCACAATGGCCCTCTTATGCCAGTTTTATGGCAGAGAAAACTGGGGACTCACGGGGGCATCAACATGTCTCTTTGTTTATTGGAAACATTTTTATATGCTCACAAATAATATGCAACAGCAACAGTAATAGCAGCTAAAGCAGAAGTGTGCAAACTGTCTGTAGAGGACCAGATAGATTAGTAAATATCTGAGCCTTTGCTGGCCACATGGGCTCTGTCACCGCTAAGCAGTTCTGCCAGCGTGGCTGTACAGTAGCTGTAGATAATATGCAAATGAACGGGAGTGGTTGTGTACCAATAAAACTTTGGTTCGCAAAAGAGGATTGCAGGCCAGATTTGGTCTTAAAGCTGTAGTTTGCCAACCCCTGAACTAAATATGATTTCCATGAGGGCAGGAACCACGTCATTATTTTTTACATCATTGTATCTCATGCAGGGAGCCCAATTCTTTGCACATGGTAGTTCTTGAATGAATGAATGAGTAAACCAAGGAATCAGTGAGTGGTCTGTCTTTCAAGATCCATCACGACTGAAGCTCCAGTCCTCCCCTTTCCTTTCCCATGTACTCCCCTTCCCTACCCATACTGCCAACCCTACCCCAGCTTATCCCCTTGCATTAAGCTCACGGTCACATGTGTGCTCACTTGCTAGCTCTCTCTCGCTTTCTCTTTTCTCTCCCCCTCACCCATTCTAGACCCAAGGTCAACCCCTTCCTTCCCTAGTCTTCCTCAAAAGCCTTGGGGGATTGAGTAACCCGTTATTGTGCCAGTGGTGGCTTTTTTCTGGAACCTTTTGAAGTTCTGTGGTTTGTTGATTCATCTCTTTACACCCATCCCTCTTTCAGGAAGGGTTTATGGCAGTCTGCATGGGTGTACTAAACAAAATAAGACTGCAAAAATTAAAACTGAGACAAAGAAAGGAAACACAACCATAGGACCATCATACCTTGGAGCTGGAATAGGTATTAACACCTACACCATGGTGGGGAACTGGAGATTTGACAAAGAGCTTTCTGGCTGCCATCAAGGAAAACAAATCTGTCCCTTCCACTGCCCTGTATCCAAATAATTGACACAGGCCATTGCTCATGGCAGGTGGATCTGTTCTCAGTGCTCAGTTCAGATGGAAATTTCTCCAGAGGGCCTCACAAGAGGAGGAAGAGGAAGGACCAGCAGGCTTTGCAGCTTGCTAACAGCAGACAGGATGAGGTATTCATGGCTGTCTGCTACGACGGTGTCCCCTGGTCTAGACTCGACATCTTATGCTGATACTCAGCAGAGTAAGGACACATCCTGGTACCTGGGCCTGGGTTGACCTCGACATGTATTTTTTTATTATTATTATTATTAGTAGTAGTAGTAGTAGTAGTATTTTGAGATCGAGTCTTGCTCTGTCACCCAGGCTGGAGTGCAGTGGCACAATCTTGGCTCACTGCAACATCCACCTGGTGGGTTCAAGCAATTCTCCCATCTTAGCCTCCTGAGTAGCTAGGGTGTATGCCACCACGCCTGGCTAATTTTTGCATTTTTAGTAGAGATGGGGTTTCACCATGTTGGCCAGATTGGTCTTGAACTTCTGACCTCAAATGATCCGCCCACCTTGGCCTCCCAAAGTGCTGAGATTACAGGCATGAGCCACTGTGCCGAGCCCTGACATGTATTTTAGGGAAGCTACCAGAACAAACAGACCATGTGGTCTCCAAGCACCACTGGAGCATAAAGAGGAAGCTCTTAGTCTGAGAGAGAGACCAGGTGAAAATTCCAGCTCAGATGCTGACCTCTGGCCTAGTCTTTCCACTTTTGTAAACCTCCGAGTCTTCATCTAAGAAGTGAGAGTTGATATTAGCATTCGCCACCTGTTGTTGCGGTGGAGTCTGATGAAACGCCTTCGCACTGTGGCCTTTGCATCTATTATTGTATTTAAACTTGGCAGCGACATTGCAAGGTAAATGTCACCCCATCTGCTTCACGCTGTTCTGAGTACTTTAGCTCAGTATTACTCAAGCATTACTTTCTTTCATTATCACCCTCCCAAGAAGAAAAATTTAATTTAATATAAATTCTCCCTTGTGAGAGAAATTAAATACTGTGGGAAAAGATTTTATCAGATAGGGTTGAGCTTTGGGGGACGGCTGACCATTGCAATATCTAAGACTATTATTATTATTTTGAGACAGAGTTGTGTTGTGTTGCCCAGGCTGGAGTACAGTGGTGCAATCTTGGCTCAGTGCAACCACTGCCTCCTGAGTTCAAGGGATTTTCGTGCCTCAGCTTCCTGAGTAGCTGGGATTATAGGCGCCCGCCACCATGCCTGGCTAATTTTATATTTGTAGTAGAGACAGAGTTTCACCATGTTGGCCAGGCTGGTCTCAAACTCCCAACCTCAACTAATCCACCCGCCTCAGCCTCCCGAAGTGCTGGGATTATAAGTATGAGCCACTGTGCCCAGCCTAAGATTTTTTTTTTCTCACACACATATACTCCCCCAAATTTTGCTTGCTTGGTGGGGGTGACAGTCATCCCTATTGAGAATATGTGCTTTAGATATACAAACTAACTCCTATTAAAGCTCTAGTTGAGAGAGAAAGGAACGGAGGCCCAGAGAGGTAAAGTAACATACCCAGAGTTGCACAGCTAATGAGAAAGGATCTGAATTGTCTTATGGATTGCTCTAGACGGTGCTTAAAGCACAGTCTAACTTATAGCAGCAAACTGTACGTGTTATTTTGTGTCTTGCTTTTGTCGCTTACCTATCTAGCTCATCGATTGTTCTGGTTCAGTATATATATCATGGCCCCCATTCTTTTTAATAGCTGCATTAGGCTGGGCGCGGTGGTTCACATCTGTAACTCCAGCACTTTGGGAGGCTAAGGTGGGCAGTCATCTGAGCCCAGGAGTTCCAGACCAGCGTGGCCAAGGTGGTGATGAAACCCCGTCACTACTAAAAACATGAAAATTAGCCAGGTATGGTGGCAGGTGCCTGTAACCCCAGCCACTCGGGAGGCTAAGGCAGGAGAATCACTTGAACCCAGGAGGCAGCAGTTTCAGTGAGCCGAGATCGTGCCGCTGCACTCCAGACTGGGTAACAGAACAAGACTCCATCTCAAAAAAAAAAAAAAAAAAAAAAGAAAGAATGAAAGAAAGAAATAGCTGCATTATTTTGCATTTGCATTCACATAGCATGGTTTATTTAACCATACCACAACTGCTGAGGCTGAAGTGGTTTCTAGTCTTTGGCAATTAAAAACTCGCCATAGCAATCCTCCCTACACGCATATCATTTTGCTTAAATGCAAGTTAAATGTGAAGGTTACATGCCTAGAAATGAAGTCTGTGCACACTTCTTAAAAGATAGCATTTTGTCAGAGGCACAAAAATATCTCCACAAAGCTAAGATTCTTACGGAGCCATCCAAGGTCAGTTTTCACCATGTTCTTAACAGCTAAGCCACTCTTTTGACCCCCAAATTCCTCCCGACCTGGTTATTGATTTAGCTGTGGGCTCCCCACCCCCGCCACCTTTTATGCCTTTGGTCACCAGATTATCCTCTTGTCATCTGGTATTTCCCTACCAGGCTTCCCACAGTTTATTTTTGAACTTCAGTTCTCATCTCATTAACAGAAAGCCTAGGCGGCCAGATTCCATTCCTGCTGCCGGGGTCAGTGCTTTGAAAAAGGGTCGTTAATAAAGCAGCATCATAGCTTATCCTGGGTCCTTCATGTCCACCAGGATGGGGGAAAAGCAGAATCCTTCCTGTGTCCCTCGTCTTTCTGAAACTTTTCTCTAAGAACTCGAACCAGTCTCATTCTGCAGACCTTCCTGGGCCTTCATTATATAAGAGCTATGTTCTGGCAGTTAGGGAAATCTAGCATGAGTGGCCCCCATTCAATTCTGCAGGGGACAAAAAGCCTCTCTTCTCCTAAAGCTTGCTGGTAAGTCTCTATGGCAGAGTCAAGGCTAAATCAACTCCCACATATGGCGACCTCAGCTAGAGAAGCGAGGTGGAAGGGACGCTAGCAATTCAGAGGGTGTCTTTAGCCCCTGTGCAGCAGCGTCGTCTGTAATTAAAGCTGGCTGCACTATTAATATCATCTGAGTAATTAAACTCAATGGTGTTTGGCAATAGTTTGTTCTGGAAGTTCCTTGAGGAAGAGCGGGTTAACGGGATGGAGAGGGCTGCATGGTATTTTGTGCAAATGGAATCTTTTGGCCTCCTTTATCTGGTCCTGAAGCCTGCTGGGGCTTACTGCCACCCCCTCTTCATTCTGTTATTTCCCCCAATTCACATTTGCTGATGAAACATGGTGGCCAGGTTGATAAAGGCATGGAGCTGGATGCTCTGGTGGTGGTGGGTTAACCACGTGCATTTCCCGTCTGCCTTAAGTGCAGTAGGTGCCCAGAAATGGATTTAATGCATCCAGGCATTCATTCCACAAATATTTACCCAATGCCTGTCATGTGCCAGGGTTTGTGCATACTGAAGGGACATAAAAAAGTAGCTTGCGTTCTAGTTGGAAGATTTAGACAATAGGCAAATACATAATATTATATATAAATAGAATATATTCAGACAATAAGCAAATATATATTATACATATTAATAATAGACATTGTAGATTATAATTATAATCTTTAATAGCCCAGAGAGTGATACGTGGCCTGAGGAGCAACATAATTAGAGGAATGGGGAATGCCTATGGGGCAGGGGGTGGTGGCTCTCATAGGGCGTGTCCTCTGACAAGTTGCTTGAGGAGTGAACCATGAGGATATCCAGACGGATATTTTTCCTGGCCTGGAGAACAGCAAGTGCAAAGGCCCTGAGGCAAGTGACAGCATTTGCATTAGGAAGCAGCAGCTGACGGTCTATGAAGAGCAGCACAGGAGGTCAGAGCTGAAGGACCTTCAGTGGAGCCCCTTCCCTGCCGGGTGAAGACTGAGGCCAGAGAGGGGAGAGCTGACTGTCCCAACTCAATCTCGCACAGCAGCAGGTAGACCAGTTTTTCAGGACTCCCACCTCCCATCCTTACGCTTCACAGAGACTTTAAGGGACCTCAGAGCAGCAGGAAAGGTGCTAAGCAACCCGGTTCAACTCTGCAGTCCTCCACTCAATAGCAGTGTGGTATAAATGACGTCAGCTCCTTGAGCCTCATCTTCCTCATCTGTAAAATGGGAACAGTGAGGGCACTCGCCACCAGGCGTGCTGTGAAGATGAGATGAGATCTCCTGGGCTCTGCGTGTGGCATGGGGTGGCTGTGCAGGGAACGTTAGTTATGGGCCAAGGTTTTTTGGTCCTGCAACTGGACACACTATACCTCCAGCCCATTCCCTCGCCCCCACTAGATGTGACACCATCCGTCTCCTCATGGCTGTCACCTGACGGAACCGATTTTACACTCATTTTGACTTGTTTTGTAAGGGAGGGTCTGGTTTTCTCTTGGAGACAAAAATTTTGGCAAGTGAGACCTTACAGGATGTGCTCCAGTTTCCTCATCTGTAGAATGGAGCCGTGATAGCTCTTAACACTGGCTCCCTCGGCAGGAATAATTTTTTTTTTTTTTTTGAGACGGAGTCTCGCTCGTCGCCCAGGCTGGAGTGCAGTGGCGCGATCTCGGCTCACTGCAAGCTCCACCTCCCGGGTTCACGCCATTCTCCTGCCTCAGCCTCCCGAGTAGCTGGGACTACAGGCACACACCACCACGCCCGGCTAATGTTTTGTATTTTTAGTAGAGGCGGGGTTTCACCGTGTTAGCCAGGATGGTCTCGATCTCCTGACCTCATGATCTGCCCGCCTCGACCTCCCAAAGTGGTGGGATTACAGGCGTGAGCCACCGCGCCCGGCCTTTTGTTTTGTTTTATAGAGACAAGGTCTCACTCTGTGGCCTAGGTTGGAGCACAGTGGCATGATCATGGCTCACTGCAGCCTCGACCTCCTAGGCTCAAGTGATCCTCCCACCTCAGCCTCCTGAGTAGTGAGGACTATAGGCATGGGCCCCCATACCAAGCTAAGTTTTTTTTTTTTTTTCATTTTCTTTAGAGATGGGGTCCTCACTTGTTCTCCAGGCTGGTCTTGAACCGCTGGCCTCAAGTGATCTTGCCTTGGCTTCCTAGAGTGCTGGGATTACAGGCGTTCTCCATGATACCCAGCTAAGTTTTTTACTTTTCCTAGAGACACCGTCGGTGGGGGCGGGTCTCACTTTGTTGCCCAGGCTGTTCTCGAACTCCTGGCCTCAAGTGATCCTCCTGCCTTGGCTTCCTGGAGTGCTGGGATTATAGGCGTGAGCCACTGCACCCGTGCTGATATATATTATAAGGACCCAGCATGGCAGTACACATGAGAAGTTCAAAGTGCTCTGTGTTGGGTGGTGTTACTAATAAAACATGGATTTGGAGGCAGATGGAAAGGGGATTCATTTCCCTGACTCAAGCAAGTGCTTTATCCTTTGAGACCTCAGCATTTTCATATGAAAATGGAATATCCAATACTGCATTGAGTTGTTAGGAGAATTCGATAAACATAAATCTAAAGCATTGAGCACAATGTCTAGCTCACAAGAGTCACTAAATAGTACTTCTGCTTCCTCCTCTCCATTCATTTCCACTCTTCTACCAAAAGAAACTCGGAAAGTCATTCCTGATTATTTGTATTTGATTCCATTTTACAGATAAGGAAATTGAGACTCAAAGACCTTAGACTGTAACACAGCCAGGAAGTGGAGGAGCGGGGATTTGAACCCCGGTGGTTTGTGTCAGTCTGGAGAACATCCCCTTTGCCCTCGCTAATATCAGAGTTCACCCTGGATTCTTAATGCTTTGATTTGACTGATCCCTGAGCTGATGGAGAAAAGCCAGATTCTTGCAGCCTGTCCTTCTCTGTCTTTGGTGTAAGCCAGAGGTCAGCTGAGCCCTGGAGAAATCGGATTTGTCCCCAGTTGGCCCCGGGCTCTGCGCTCCTGCCCATCAGAGCCCAGACACCCCTGCTGGCATTGATGTCAGATTCACCTCGCAGTTTTATTCTCAGAGCCTCTCTGGTATCTTGCACGTCTAATTTCCTGTCCCCTGGGGCCTTGGCTGATTAGCCTTTGATTATTCACAAACAGAGAGGCAGGAACAGGGAATCGGGTCCTCTGCTTTAATCACCCACACAAAATTTAGGCAAGGCTGTAGGTTTCTGGAAGGAGCAGGGCTAGGATTTGGAGATTAGAGGTGAAAGCACTAAAAAAATCACCCGCGAAGCCCCAGCCCCATCTCTGCAATCTTTACATGGGGATAAACGCGCTGAGCCTGCCTCCTGTGGTACCCCAACACCCCCCAGGCCTTGCTAAACATGGTTTGGTTTAGGTTTGTTTTGTTTTGTTTTGTTTTGTTCCCTTGGACTGCTCCCTAGCCACCTCCATGTTACCGCAGCTTTCCAAGAAGTCACTTTTGTTGTCACTAGGCCAGAAGACAGTTGGCATCCTTTTAGGTCCCACATAAAATAGGACATTTCAAAACCAGGAGTTCCACTGTGTGCTTTTGGCGCAGGGAGAAAAAAAAAAAAAAGGTGTCTTTTCTTTCTTCCTTACTCTATGAATGCGAGAAATGGTTTGGAGGAAGATGAAACACCTCCAGATTTACAGTCTGTGTTATCATCAGTGCAAGCACAGAGGGGGTTCATTCATTCACCAAATAATCCCAGCTCATTCAGAGCAAAAGCCAGAGGCCTTACAGTGGTCTAGATTTGAACTTGTTGACATGTGGGGCCAGATCATTCTTAGTTGTGGAGGGTCGTCCTGTGCATTACAGGATATTAAGCAGCATCTCTGGACTCTACCCACTAGTTGCTGGTAGCATTCCCCTTCCCCAAGTGTGACAACAAAAATGTCTCCAGACATGGCAAGATGTCCCCTGTGGGTCAAGTTGACCCAGTTAAGAACTATAGCTCTTGGGTCGGGTGTGGTGGCTCACGCCTATAATCCCAGGACTTTGGGAGGTCAAAGTGGTCAGATCACCTGAGGTCAGGAGTTCGAGACCAGCCCGGCCAACCTGGTGAAACCCCATCTCTACTAAAAATACAAAAATTGTCTGGGCATGGCAGCACACACCTGTAATCCCGGCTACTCTGGAAGCTGAGGTGGGAGAATTGCTTGAACCTGGGAGATGGAGGTTGCAGTGAGCCGAGATCGTACCACTGCACTCCAGCCTGTGTGACAGGGCAAGAATCTGTCTCCAAAAACAAAACAAAACAAAACAAAACAAAACAAAACAAAAACCTGGCTCTATAATGCTTTATTGATCTATCCCCCATTTCTTCCTGACCTAAGCTTCTGTTTTTCATCTTTTACTTCCTCCACCCTGGCTTCTTTGCTGGTCTCCACCAGCAACGTGAGGCTTGCTGTCACCTCAGGGCCTTTGCACAGCAGTTTCCCTGTCCCCGAAATGCTTTTTCCCAGTTAGCCAAGCAGCATGCTCACTTACCCACTGGGAGTCTTTGCTTATACCTCACCTTTTCAGTCTAAAGCCTGCCTTGACCACCTTATTAAGAAATGCACCCATTGCATCATCCTAACCACTGACTTCTCTCTTCTACCCTATTCTGTGCACTATTTGTTATATCTGTCATCTTTCTGTGTCCCTGTGCTAGAATAAAGTTCTGTGAAGGCAAGGGTTTTGTTGCCATTCTTCGTAGATGCCTCCCAAGCCCTTGGATGTTACTTCTTTTATGGAATTGTCATCTAGTACCTGCTGTATACCTACACCATGCACTGTCTGGACACCAGGAATAAGGGTGCTTGTACCTGCCCCAAACGACCCTAGAACTGTCATTTTCAGATCCTTCTTGCCCAGAGCTGGAGGGTAAGTTTTGTTCCTGATGCTAAGGGAAAGATACCCTTGCAGATTCCTAGGTGGGGGAAAGATAAGGTCCTCACCCAGGGCAGCAGGGTGCAGGGCTGAGTTTGGGGAGGAAGGCAATTTTGTCTCCTAGGTCAGCCTTGAGGGTGGCTGCGATTCTCCTGGGTGCTGTCCCCTAAAAGCCCTTACAACACAGCCTCTCAACTGGCCCCATTGGTATTCAGGCCACCCCATGCTCTGAATAAACATCTCCCTGCCACCCTCCCTTACACAGCAGCTCTTGCTTGTGGCATGAGAGTGGCGGAAAGACGATAAAAATAGTGTTTAGTTATGCGCACTCTGCTTATTTTGTACTTTCGAGCAGTAACATGCCCTCTGACGGTGTTGGGCTGGCCAGCAAAGCCCATCATTTCTCCCTCATGTGGAGCAGCCTAGAAACAGCCTGAGAGATGCCTGGTCCTTGGACAGGTGTTGCCACCTGTCCGCGGTACCCAGAAGTTGGCCACTGGCTTTTCCAGAAACCTCCCTTTCCCTTCCCCACTCTGCTTTGTCAGAAAGCCCTAAGCAGAGACAGGACCAAATTTTGAGGCTCTGCTGAGCAGGGGACCCCTTCAGAGGAACAGTTGCTTAGCCTTGTAACTGCTCCTGCATTCTCAGCACAGTCGCCCAGGGCATTCCTAATGCCTCAGGAACACCTTATTTTACAGGTGAGGACAGTGAGGCCCAGAGTGGTTAAGCAACTTGTTCAAGATTGCACAGCCATGGAGCTGGGATCTGGACCCATTCTTCTCTGACCCCAGAGCCTGTACTCAGAGCATGAACCCCTCCTGTCTTCTGCTCTGCATTGTTTAGATGCATTTCCCCAAGATGCGTCCAGGGTTTCTTGCCTGCAACTGCTGGGCAATGACCTTTCTGAACAGTAAACATTGGGCACTAGTGGTGACTCTTAAGAGAGAGATTCTGGCCGGGCGTGGTGGCTCACGCCTGTAACCCCAGCACTTTGGGCATCCGAGGAGGGAGGATCACTTGAGCTCAGGAGTTCAAGACCAGCTTGGGCAACGTGGTAAGACCTTGTCGCTACCAAAATTACAAACAATTAGCTGGGTGTGGTGATGGGTGCCTATAATCCCAGCTACTCAGGAGGCTGAGACAGGAGAATCACTTGAAGCCAAGAGGCAGAGGTTACAGTGAGCCAGGATTGTGCCGCTGCACTACAGAAGGAGACTCAGTCTCAAAAAAAAAAAAAAAAAAAAAAAAAAGGAGGGAGAAAATCTTTATGTTAAAAACTACCCAAGCCTCTGGTTTGGGAGTAAATACATAGCTTTACACCTCCAAAGTGTCACGTTATTTAATTGGTACCACTGTCCCTGGGGAACTTCAGTGGCTATGCTAAGTGGAAGTTCCATTAGAGAGATGCTCCCAGGTCAGCGGAATGAAAATTAAATACTAGTTGTTGGGTGTTAAACAGAGGTTTTGGGTGTGTTTGGTGGAGGTAAACTCGGGGATGCCATGATACCCTGTCCTGCAGTCACCTCTCCTCCCCTCCCAACCTTCCAGGACCCCTAGGCAGCAGTGGGGGTAGCCGACAGAGAATCAACTTCCCAATCTTCTAGCACAGAGTTCCAGTAAAAGTCTTCTTGGAAGTGCCCGCTTTACGGGTTAGCTAAAGTAGGACCTCCACTCTCTTTGCTTGTAGCTGCAGGTGGGAATTTTGGCTCTGAAATGCTCCCATGCCTGCAGGGAGCCCAACTCAGCTTACAATTCCATTGCATGGAGCTGCCCAGCATGTGCCAGAGTCCTGGTTCCTGAGGCTCCCACACAGTGACCCTGCCCACTGTGGCCCCCTTAGTGCTCAGGGCTGAGATGAAGTGGATGAACGTCTCATCCCTGACCGTGGGACTGGGCAAAGTGTGGAGAGATGTGAGGAAGTGGCCTCTGTATTCCCATGTGCCCCACTTTGTGCAGGAAAGTGTTTCTGAAAGACCATGTGTGGGCCAACAGGGATGATGTCAACACAAATGTGCTTTTCTCATTCACTTCAACTTTAATGCCAGGGATTTCTCTGCTTCATTTCCCATTGCTATTCTGGTGGCATCGTCTCCTACCAAAGTGGTTTTAAACTTCTCCTTCATCGCCAGTCTGTTCAGGTGACGCTCAGTAAATAAACACTTGACTATACCAGAGCTGTACAGGGATCCACATCAGCCAGCCTCTCTGAATTTCAGGGGCTATTGTGAAGAGCCCTGCACAGCAGGTCATTTTGGATACACAGATCAGCTCAGCAAATACAGAGATGGAACTGATATGTGAGAAACAGAACACAATCAAGAGATAATAACACGAAAAAAATAGAGATGGGAGAGTTTTTTTTGTGAAGTGAGGAATCTCGTCTGTGACACAGATTCAAATAACTAATTGTGTTTCCCTCTTTGCATTGCCTGCTAGGAAGCTCAAAGACAATTCATATCTCTCACATGTCTCATAAGCTCAGAGACAGAGGTCATATCTCTCATAAAACCTATGGTATTATTTTAAATGCTTCTGGTGGCAAATTGAATTTCCCATCATGTATATATAATATATATAATATTTAGAACCTTTCAAAAAACATATATATAGACACACACAGATATATATGTGTATATGTGTGTGTGTGTGTGTGTGTGTGTATGGTTTAGTGGGCACCACCATGCCCGGCTAGCTGGCTAATTATTTATGGGTTTTTTTGTAGAGACGATGTTTTGCCATGTTGCCCAGGCTGGTCTTGAACTCCTGGGGTCAAGAGATCCACAGGTCTCGGCCTCCCTAAGTGCTAGGATTACAGGTGTCAGCTACCGTGCCTGGCCATCCTATCATATTCTTTTCTCTTCATTCCTTTCCTTACCACACCTCGTCCCCACACTGTGTTTTATCTGTTTAATTTTTGGTCAGTGGAACAGTGTCTTTTGTTTAAGCCTTTTTGGAACATGGCATTTTTGTAACACCGAACAGCAGGAATAAATAGCTATTGCGATAAAATACAATTTCCAGGTCTTTTTGTATATGTCTTTCACTTAAGCCAGCAGCTTTCATTCCTGTACCCCTTCTCAGCACATTCTAAGTGTGAGGTCCTCAGCACCGTATTTGACCTTCAGAGCTTTAGGAAAACACAGCTCAGGGGCCTCAGAGGATTTCTGGCCTTAGAACAGACAGAGGCTGGGAAAATTGAGGTGGGTGTGTTCCACCCCACCCAAATCCAAACCCCTCTATTGGTTCTGGGCTGGACACACAGGATCTGTTGTTCATACTTGACTGTGCCACTACCAGGTGGGTAACAGTGGGCAGGACCCCTGGGCCTCAGTTTCGACATCTGTGTAATGGGAAATAACCTCAGCCTGCCAACCTCACAGGTCCCACATCTTACATATGCTGCTCATTGAATGAAAGTTCTTTTAAAATGAGACAATTAGGCCAGGCACAATGGCTCACACCCACACCCAGCAGTTTGAGAGGCCAAAGCAGGAAGATCGCTTGGGTCCAGGAGTTCAAGACCAGCCCTGTGGCAACATGGCAAAACCTCTTCTCTACAAAAAAGTCATAAATAGCCAGTTAGCTGGGTGTGGTGGTGCCCACTAAATCATATATTAACCCAGTCGCTGCCAAAAAAAAGTTAACCAGGTGTGGTGGTGTGCACCTGCAGTCCTTGCTACTCAGAAGGCTGAAGTGGGAGGATCCCTTGAGCCTGGGAGGCTGAGGATGCAGTGAGATATGATTGCGCCATTGCACTCCAGCCTGGGTGACAGAGACCGTGTCTCAAAAATAAATAAATGAATAAAATAAGACAATTGTCAGGTGGCCTGAGGAGGATCAGGATTTGGTGGCAGAGCCAGGGTGTTGATCCACCCCAGGACATTGTAACCACCTCTATCTGATCACCCAAATTAATAGGATCATTTACCAAGTCAGTTATTTTGTCATGTTTCAGATAGGCCCTGAAGTCAGATGAGCTGGCTGTGAATCTCAGCTCTGCCCTTCACTAGCTGTGGGCCTTGGACTTTGGCCTCAGTCTCTTCATCTTTATAATGGAGATAATTATGTTAGTAGTGATTATTCCACATCTAACACAGAGAAAGCCCATGTCATTTGCAGACATTTACAAGTGCATGCTCCATGGTAGGCTTTGACACCTCCTTGGGTCGATTCAACAGTTTGGGGAGCTAAGAGTACAGTAGGGGATTCTGAACACAGGATCTGCTGGTACTTCCATGCGGTTGAAGGCCCCTGCCTGTAAGGCGTCTCCTTCCACTTTGTTCTTGGCTCCAAGAGTCATGGCAGCCTCCAGAAATAGCTTCATCCATGCCAGGTCCCGGGACTGAGGTTGGTGGTTCTTGGAAATAGAATTTAACCGTAATGAAACATGAGATGGACCTTCCGCTGCCTTTGGTGCTTTAGACTTTTAAAATTAAAGTCAGTCCAGATAGACATCTCTAGTTTTACTTAGAAAGTTGTTAAAAATTATGGAAAGTTTGACACTAACCCTAACTTTCCTTGGTTGAAATTTTGAAGATGTGGCTTTCAGCCTCTAAACTGGATGAGCTGCTTTGCTAAACACTCAAGTCTACCTCTTTTTCTTTTTCTTTTAACTGAGGAGAAAGTAGCCAAGTTCAGAGTCTACTTTGATTGCCAACACGGTTCGATATTCTAAGTAGGACAGCTAAGAGGCAAAAAGAACAAGAAAGAGATGGAAAAAATGAAATCTATTATAACATTTTATTTTTTGGATGAGATAGATATCCTTAAAATGGAAAATCACTGGGATTTCATTTGCTTCAAGCCAAATTTTTGTTCTCTGCAGAAAGTCATCGTCATCTTCCTTTCTTGCTTCTTACAGAGAGGTTGCCCCAGAGACGGGGTGTGTGGGATCATGAAACAGCTCTTAGACTTTCCTCTGCATCACTCTGGGTTTGGGGTTTTGTTTTGTTTGCATGTTTGCGTTTGTTTTGTTTTCATTTTGGTTTTTTGCAAACTTTTTTTTGGAGCCAGTCAAATTTTCCTAGGTACAGAACTGAAGCTTTTGTTTTTAATATTCTGAATAGGAGTCATTTGCATTCTCAACTGTCACCCTGATGATGTTGGGTCTTGGATTTGGAATGCAATCAGAACTTTTTAAATTCCCATACCTAGGGAATCCAGAAAGATATCATCCTAACATTGGGAAAACACATCAGTCAAACTGATTTCTGGAAATGACATAGATTTATGAAATCAGGGAGTTGAGACACACTTACGCTGGGGAAACA
Source organism: Homo sapiens (assembly GCF_000001405.40). Classification (NCBI taxonomy): domain Eukaryota; kingdom Metazoa; phylum Chordata; class Mammalia; order Primates; family Hominidae; genus Homo; species Homo sapiens. The sequence goes on along the minus strand of NW_019805500.1, from coordinate 290,732 downwards.
AAGCCCCTTGAGTTGAGAGGTACTTGTCACATGTCTCAGGGTAGAACATAAACATGGCAGAAGACAATTGCGGGATTTTATGTGGAAATTCTAGAGGAGGGAAAGAGGGAGGCGACAGACAGAGAAAGGGGAAAAAAGCTGGCACAAATGGTGATGATACAGAGAAGCAACCTAGAGCAGGAGGTAGCAAACTGCCATTCACAGGCCAAATCTGGCCCTCCACCTGTTTTTAGAAATAAAGTTTTATTGGAACACAGCACACCATTCATTTACATACGCCCTATGACTGGTTTCACTCTACAATGGCAGGGTTGAGAGGTTGAGGCAGAGACTGTATGGCTTACAAGGCCTAAAATATTTATTAGCCAGTCCTTTACAGAAAATGATTTCTTGACCCTAGGTATAGATCATCGTGGATGAAAACTTACAATGGTGTAGAATCCCAGCTCCATCTCTTATCAGCTGGGTTGCCTTAGACAAGTGACTTTATGTCTCTGAGGCTCAGGTTTTTTAAAAAAATCTATTTATTGTATTCTTGGGATGTTTTAACAAATCACCTCAACACTCAGTGGGGTAAAACGGTAAGAAATTTTTATTTGTTACTGTTCAAGAGTCTTTGGGTGAGCTAGATGGTTCTTCTGGTCTCAGTGGTGGTTCTCCTGATCTCAGTTGGGCTGTCATGTCTGGAGATTGGCTGCCTCTAAGCTGGTCTAGGATTATCTCAACTGAGAGGAAAGTCATTTGGACTCGCCTCCACGTGGTCTCTCATCCTCCAGTAGAGAGCAAATGGCAGTGACAGGGTTCCAAGACAGAGAAGCCAAACTTAGGGTCACCTCTGCTACCTTCTTTTGGCCAAAGCAGGTCGCATGACCTGCCCATATTCAAGGTATGGACAAGTCATCTCAACCTCTTGGGAGAAGCAGCAGGGCACATTGCCAAGGGCAAGCATACAGCAGGCCATTGCTTGGGACCATCAGTACAGTCGGTCTACAATAAGCATAATAAGACAAGCCCCAAGAAGAACAAAAGAATCACACACAATCCCTGACAGGTAGGAGGTAAGTAAGAAATCCCAGCTGCCGTTACTCTTGCCATGAGTGAAACTGTATAGCTAAGTTATACACCAAGGGTTTTGCTGGCAATTGATTTATCTTGTAGCCTCTCTGCTTGGACACTGCACTATTTTTATATTGGAGAAGGGAGGAGTAACTGTTACCGGCCCCCACCTGAAGAATTATGTCTAGGTGGGGCCCAGTGGCTCACACCTGTAATCCCAGCAGTTTAGGAGGCCGAAGCGGGAGGATGGCTTGAGCTCAGGAGTTTGAGACCAGCCTGGGCAACATAGTAGGACCTCATCTTCTACTACAAATAAATAAATAAATTAGCTGGTGGTGTATGCCTGTAGTCTCATTTACTCGGGAGGCTGAGGTGGGAGATCACTTGAGCCTCACTTGAGGTGGCAGTGAGCTACGATTATGCTGCTGCACTCCAGCTGGCCAACAGAGCCAGACCCTGTCTCAAAAAAAAAAAAAGAAAAATTATGCCTAATAGAGTTCCTGGCACATCTTAAACTCTCACTTAGTATTAATCTTTTTTCCTAAGTGATTGGTAAATGTTAAGCTCCTGGTATTATTATTTCTGCTGCCAGTTGGAACTACCAGTCCTCCACCCCTTCTTTAGATGCCCAGCGTCTGTCTGTCTGTCTTTCTTTTGCCTCCCCTGCTCCTCACTTGACTTCTGTCTTAGGGACATTCAGCAGAGATTTGCTTTCTTCCTCTCCAGGAGCCCCACACAGTGGGCCCTTAATGCAAAGTGACATCTGAACGGAGTCCAGGGCCCTGGGAGGGCTCCCCAGAGGCAAGCTTTTGGCTGAAGCAGCCTCCAACAGAGTCCTCAGAATGGCTAAATTGCAGCCTGACAGTGCAGATCAGGAAAGGTCACTGTGTGAAGTGGCTGCCTGATTGGGGTGGGGAGATTTGGCCACATGCGGTACCGGCTGCAAGGATTCGACAAATTGTCTCATGGTGCAGAGTTACCTTCTGTGAGCCCAGAGTTTTTTCTGAGACTGTGATGAAGTGGCCACAGCCCCAGGAGGTGGGAGGAGTATGATCTAGAGGGATCCGTCTACGTTCTGAGCGTTTGCCTGCTTGAGGATACTGCACTGAGCGTTAATTGAGCAGCCTTGGATTGGGTTGATTCTTGAACTGGATTAAAAAAAAAGAGGGGGAGTGGTGTCTGAGTGGGTGATGGAGCATCTACATGATGAAAAACTAGATCCACGCCAGGCCTGGGTTTGAATCTCAGTTCTGCCTATTTTTAGCTGGCTGCAGTGTTTCTGCGTATGCTTGTTCAGGATATAACTACAGGAGGGAGTTAAGTAGGAGCCAAAATTCACCTACACTCTGGTCATCAAGGCATACTGTAGACTCAGGGCTGCAATTGCCCAGAGTAAGGGGAATCTTTTTTATTATTCTCATAAAGCTGCAGGATCAGTGAATGATCGTGGCCTTGGCTGGGTGGTGTTTGGTGGGTTTGACCTCCCCAAACACCTGAACAGAATTCAGGGTTTGAACTCTGAACGTAAGTTTCCTCATCTGTAAAATTGGAATGAAAACACTCCCCATCTCATAAGTTTGCTTAAAGCAGAAGACATGGGGAGATGCTTAGAGCAGTGTAAGGACACAATCAACGATGGCTATACTTTGTGGTGAAGGTGGCAGATTACCTGGGTTCAAGTCCCCGTCTTCCATTGCTTGCTGGAAAACCTTACAACAAGGATGGGGATGATGATGAGGATGATGATGATGAGGATGATGATGATACCTATCCATGGGGATTGTTGTGAGGATTCAAGAAGCTAATATACGTAATGTGCCTAAGTGTGGCTAGCTAATGAGTATTAGCTAAGCCAGTTTTACATACAATTTTAGTGCTGTGTTGATCAAGGATCCACATGGGTGACAGGTTGACCTGGGCTAAGAAAGTGACAGTGCAGATCCGTGGATACTTGAAGGTGAATGGTTTGGGATGACAAGGAGAGTGGTCTTTATATTGGTGAGTCAGTCCATGGTTTGACCAAAACCCTGAGAACATTCTTGGATGTATTAATTTCTCTAATTTCCATCTGCCATCCCCTTCCATGATTATTTATTCCATACCTCCCTCCCCAGCCTCCCACCCACTCCTCCCACATATTGCTCAGTCTCTGTTTACCCCTTCAAGTAAGTGTGGTGGAGAAGGGTCTTGATTTATGAGCTTACATGAGCCTGGTTCAAATTCCAGTCCTACCAATTACTAGTGCCGGGACCTTGAGCAAATGTCCTAGCCTTTTTGAGTCTAAGTATGTTTGGAGTAATAATAGATCCTCTATGACAGGTTTATTGTGAGGGTCAGAGAAGATCATGAAAGTTAGTGATTAGCAGAGAGGCACGTGGGCCCAGACCCCCATTGTGTTAGCTGCTGTTTATGTTGATATTGGCATAACACAGTCTCTCTCTGTCTCTCTGTCTCTCTCTCTTTCTCTCTCTCTCTCACTCACTCACACACACATGGACACACACACACACACACACACACACACACACACACACACACACAGAGATACACCAGGTTTGGGGCTAGACCCTTGGGGGTTATAAACTTGAATAAGTTCTGCTCCTCAGAAGGACACATTTTTAGGGGGCTATACCATGTTAACAAGCAATTCAGGTGGAAAGTTCTGTAGTGGAGTTGGTAAAAGTGTTCTGTAGGCATAGAGGAGGAGGAGAAAGTCTGGTGAAGGAGACAGAGGCAGGGGTCATTTGAATGCAAGCCAGGGTGAGGGGTGAAGGGCCTGGCATTCCTGGCTGAAACATCAGCAGAAAGCAGGGCCCCCGGGCATGATGGTGAAATTTGCAGCCAGGCCTAAATGCTGATTCTTGGTCTGGGCACATGCACAGTGCCCATTGTCCCACAACCTTTGGTTCTGAGACAGTCATGGGGCAGGAAGGATCAAAGCCCTAGATCAGGTGGGAAATGCCAGAGTCATTAATTCTGCTACCAGATCTCTCCAGAATAATGCTGGAGATCCCCTGAGAGCAGATCGAGAAGCATCTAGCGCAAGTTCCCAGGGCTTCCGGGATGCTTTAAATTACACACTTTATCCTGGTTTACCAGACTCATTTGAATTCTGATTTAAAGCCATTTGCTGGTGTGAGATCATCACTACCATGGGGTCCTGGGTGATTCTAGTCACCCAAGCTTGCAGCCAGAAACTTCTAAGTAAATTCCCATCACTTGTGCATTTTCCCTCATCCCTCCCCAGCAACACCCCGGAGAGAAGAGGCTGGAGCAGCACCCAGGCAATGCATTCTGATCTCAGTCTGGACTTGGCCAGGGCTGCATCCACCTTTGTTTCTGCCCCTGCTTCCTCTCTCTGCATCTGTGAGCAGTGGGTGAGTGGGCTCTTCCAGGATCCATCAGTCAGATCTGGCATGCTCTCCTGCTTAAGCCCCCAGTGGCTCCCCAGTGCACTTAGAATGAGATACGGACTTCTCTCCTCTCTGTGTACCCAGGTTCAGCCCCATCTTGCTTTCCTGTGCTGTATGAGTCTATTCTCCATATCACAGCCCCATCTTCCTCTTCCTGCTGCTAGACTGGTCCTAGACCATTTCTGCCTTGAGAGCTTTGCTTTTTAAATTTTTAATTTTTAGAGACAGAGTCTCACTCCGTCACTCAGGCTGTAGTGTAGTGGTGTAGTCGTAGCTCACTGCAGCCTCGAACTCCTGGGCTCAAGTGATCCCCCTGCCTCAGCCTCTCAAGTAGCTGGGACTACAGGTGCACAGCACCATCCCCAGCTGTGAGAGTTTTGCTTTTACCATTCCTGCTGCCTGGTACCTTTTGCCCGGTATGTGTTTGGAGAAGCTCCATCTTACCATTGGGCCACCCAAATGCTACCTCCTCAGAGAGTTCCTACCTGACCCCATCTGAAATGCCATCCGCTGCCTCTCTCCTGTCTTATCTTTCTTTAAAGTACTCATCCCCAGGTCATATCATATTGGACAACTATTATTTCTCTATTATCTCTCCCCCTGTAGAATGTAAGTTCCATTAGGGCAGGAGCTGAATCTGTTTTGTTCACTACTGAGCACCTAGCACAATGTATGTTGCCTAGAAGGTGCTCCAGTGTTAGTGGGATGAATGAATGAATGAGAAATAGAAGTAATAATAAAAAAATAGTAGCTGCTCCTCAGTAAGTGTTTGCTAAGTACCGGTTGCTGTGCTGAACACTTAACCTGCATTTCTTAACATTTGATCTTCGCAACAGGACTGTTGAGGGAGGAAGGTGCTATTTCTTTCCATTTAATAGATGAAGAAACTGAGGCTTAGAAATGTCAGAAGTAACTTGCCCAAGGTCACGTGGATTTTAAGGGATAATGCTGAGGTTTAGCTCAGAACTCAACCTCTGCTCTATGTTGAGCTGGAACTGTGAGGACCAGGGGACCTTCCCTCTGTGTTTATTCTCTGACTGGGCGGGTGTATAGTGGTAGTGCGGATAACAGTATCACAGCTGGATACTTAGAAAGAAGATGAAGTTGGTGAGACTATATGAGAGTCCTAATTCATGGTTGTCAAATGGAAATATCGTTGAAGAAATACTGTTCACAGACGTCACCATCACACCCCGCCCCTATGTGATAATAGTGATGGGGCTGGATGTCCCAAGACACGTGAAGTATCCTAAGACAGAAGACAGGGTTCTGCAGTGGCCCTGCTGCCCTTGATTAAGGAAATGAGTTGTGGTTGCGTTGGAAGTCCCAAGGAGCAAAGCCGTTGGAGCCCTTTATACATTTCAAATTGGGTCTTTCATTGTTGTCATTTCAAAGGCAAAATCTGAAAATTCTACTTAGTTGTTATTACTGAGTGGGAAGGACGCTGAGGCAGGATTTCAAAGACTCTAGAATGTCAAGTGAGAATCTCACTGTCATGGCAGGCGAGGAGTGTGTGCGTGTGTGCCTATGTGTGCACATGCGTGTGTGTGTACACAAAGACCTGGACTTTGCTGTGTTTGGCATCTTTCTTCACATTCTGCACCCTTCCTCTGGGATGTGAAGAGACGGCTGGCCAGCTTCCCTTTGTGTCTTTTTGAGTGACTGTGACTGCCCCCGGCCTTCAGAGTTTGAGCTCCTGACAGATATTAAAGAACAATTCACTTATTACAGCTAAACAGAAGAGCATATGGAAAAAGCAAACTGTATTAACATCTGCTGCCTGGGCTCCATCTGCTCCCGTTGGCTTGGCTTTGCCTCCAGACGTGCCAGTCTGTCAGTTTTCCAGGGCTAGCTCCTTCTTCCTTCCAAGCGAGGACGGGATGTGCCCCTTCATTTCCATCCACTCGTGCTGGATGACTGGGAATTTCTTAGGCGTTCTGGAAATGTGGGTCTATGCATGCAATATGTGAAGTTTGGAGGTGATGAGCCCTGGATTTTATGCTCTGAACGAGCTGCTTACTAGCTGTGTGACTTGGGGGGGGTGACTTATTGCTGTGTGTCAGTTTCATTGTCTGTGAAATGGGGTTAGCAATAGTAGCTATATCTAAGGATCCTTGCAAGGATGAAATAGTGTAATGCAGGTTAATCCCTTACAACAGTGGCATATAGTAAGTATGCAGTAAATATTCTTGCTTTCAATAAAAATATTCATACACACACCCCATCCTGTGTTACAACTGTTTTCCACAATTTTACACTTCGTCCCTAAAATAGCTCACTGGACTCCATATACAACCAGGTCTTGCAGCCCCTGGGAGGTTCTCATTTTCACAGTTACACCATGAAAGACCCAGCTCCTTCTCTCCTTAAAGAAAACCAAGCTGGGGGTTCCCAGTGCATCAATTAATGGCAGAAATGCCGGTGCCCTTCCTAGAACTGGGCCAACTCAGGGCAAGCCAGCCTTGTCTGCATTTAGCCTGCAGCCTCACCCTCCCACCTGAGCCGATTTTTGCCTCCAGCTAGCAAGGCAAACCAAATGTTGTTATTTTAGTATGTGGTCACCTGTCGGAAATAATTTCTAAAAATGCTTTTCCTCTTTCTCCCCCTGCTCACTTGCTCCCTGAAGCAGCCACATCTTTAGAGCAAATAGACAGCTGTCAGCACCCCCGCCATTCAAAAGGGCATTGTAGTACAGTTGTTCGTGGCTACTTACTGGCCAGGGGGTAGGGAAGTCGGGGGCTGGGGTGAGGGTCTTCAGTAAGGTATTTTATTCCCTGTGCCTCAGTTTCTCCATTTTAGAAATAGGAGTGCTGACTGTGTTTGCCCCCTAGGGCTGCCATGAAGTTTAAAAGGACTAGACCATGCAGGGTGCTTAGAACAGTTCCTAGCATACAGTCAGTGCTGCACTTAGTACTACCATCATTATTTGGAGGTAGAAAGTGGAGTTGCCTGGAGAGCTCTGGCCGGGAAGACAGCCAGATTAAGGCTGGGTGAGGGGAATTATAGCTCACCCTGGATCTCTTCATCCATCCCCATTCTGGGAGACTGAGAGAGAAGGGAGGGGAGTGACATTCCCCTGTAATGGAATCTCAGGTATGGCCCATAGAACCATAGAACCCTACAGCATCCATGTGATAAGGGACCAGAGGGACTGACCCAGGTCCATGTGTTTCCAAGAAGTGTTTGTGGCCCACGGTGGCACCCAAGATGATTTGCGGGGATTCTGTGGATATTAAATAACTTTGAATCATCCAGGGAGGAAATGATTGCCTTTCCAGTGCTCCTGCAATCTCTTGGATTAAACCAATGAGAAAGTCTCAGCACGGTGCTGATGTCCTTAACACCTTGCCAACACTTACACATTTCCCTGTGCAACAGACAAAGGACTCTCTGGGTTCAGAGCCTTAGCCAGGCAACTTGGTCTAGCCAGGGTTCCATAGCATTGTTCCTTTTTCCTTTTGTTTGAATTTTAGGAATCATGACCATCATTTTTTTTAACAACATAAATGTTTATGTTTAAATGTGAGCCAAGTAAAATTATCCAGTGAAGGGAGGAAGTGTTAGGAAGTACTGCCCTCACCCAGCACACTCAGTTTACAGATGGTGGGAGCAGGGTCCACAGAGTACCATGGAGCCAAGCAGTGTCACAACCCCGGGTGTGGCCAGGCAACGGAGCTCTGATGCCTGCCTCCAGCTCTGGTACCTGTCCTTCCACCACTCCCCTGGATGCTGCATGGAGCCAAGCAGAGTCACAACCCCGGGCGTGACCGGGCACTGGGGCTCTGATGCCTGCCTCCAGCTCTAGTACCTGTCCTTCAGCCGCTCCCCTGGATGCTGCAGGCCAGCCTATCAGATGCTTCCTTCACCTGGCCTCTGAGCAGGAGTGACCTTGATTCACAGCAGGTACCCAAAGCTGAAAGAGGGGCCAAATCCAGTTGCTTACCCCTCGCTGTCTGGGGGCTTTTAGAAATCGTGATTCCCAGGCCCAGCCCCAACCCACTAAACCAGTATCTCCCGTGTGGGCACCTGGGCATCTGCATTTTGTGAAGGCTCCCAGATTAGTCCAATGGGAAGGCAAGGCTGAGAATTGGTGAACTAAATGCTGTCATTCCTTCTGCATCATGTTACCTGAGGGAAGAAGAATTGAGAAGAGAGAAAATAAAAGGAGAGAGGAGATGGGGGTAGAAATGCTAATATTGAATGACACAAGCAAACGCAAAGGAGATATTTACAGCACGGTGCCCTTTTGTCAAACTTACAGATACACAAAATAACACTATACATTGTATGTGAACACATACGTATTAACTAAAAATATAAATACATGAATGTGAAGGATAGAAGTGTCCTCTGGGTTGGGAGATGGTGGTTGAAAGCTGGGAGGAACTTCCCAGTTGTCTCTGCAAAGTCTAATTTCTTTAAATAATTGAATAAAACATAACAAAATTGGTACATGGAAGGGCACTGTATTATTTTTCTGTACATTTTAATACATTTTGAATTATTTCATAAATCTAGATTGTATTGGAATTTTTTATATCTGACACATATTTGTATTAGGAAAATATTGAAGTATGTTTCAGAAAATAAGACAAAATCTGACCACCTCCATTCTTCAGAAGATGAATAGCTTTTTATTTATTTATTTATTTTGACACAGAGTGTTGCTCTGTCACCCAGGCTGGAGTGCAGTGGCACGATCTTGGCTCACTGCAACCTCTTCCTCCTGGGTTCAAGCGATTCACCCACCTCAGCCTCCCGAGTATCTGGGATTACAGGTGCTGCCGCCATGCCTGGATAATTTTTGTAGCTTTATTAGAGACGAGGTTTCGCCATGTTGTCCAGGCTGGTCTCAAACTCCTGACCTCAAGTCATCTGCCTGCCTTGGCCTCCCAAAATGCTGGGATTATAGGCATGAGCCACCACGCCCAGCCTGGATAGCTTTTTAGATATCCCTGACCATGGGCAGGATGTTGATTGCAGAATGATGGAGAGGTGGTTGAGAGAGGGGAGAGGGACAAACAGAGGGACAGAAAGAGGACAGACCTAGAGGAGGAGACAGGCTGACATCCCTGGAGGTCTGCATCTTGCTGAGGTCCTCGGCAGTGCCACGGAAGATTGTGCTGGGCAGAGGGCGGGGTGCCCAAGGTGTCCTCTGCCTGACTGCTTGAGGACTTGCAGGGTCCTGTTGTCCCCTAACTGCTGCTGTGGCCACATTTTGCCTTGGCTGTAATTAATATGCAGAGGAGGAGGCCTAGCCTGACTCTCGTGGTCTTCTTTGGCCATCTTGACAGAAGCCATCAATGACCCAGAGATGGATGAAGCCAGATGCTGAAGAAGCTGACCCCTCAGCCCACTCTCTGCACCAATAGTTAGCCCACAGTGTATCCAAAATGACACACTTGTTGAAGACGCCCTCGATAAATTGTCAGCCAATTTTCTAGGTGTTTCACTGCTAAGAAGGGCAGCTCACTTCCAGCCTGGGACTTGAAGGGGCTGTGTTGGAGAGGGAATATTAGCTTGGCTCCCAGGTCTGGTGCTATGGCTTAAATCCCTGATCTGTGTGGCCTTAAGGAAGTGTCTTCACCTCTCTGAGCCTCTGTTTACTCAAATGTTGAAAAAGGACATACTACTATTAATGATCATACTAGTAACAGCTACAATTTGTGTTCCAGGCCTTGTCCTAAGTGTTTTCCCAACATTGACTTAATTCTCATTTCAACTCCATGAGCTGGCTACAGCTGGGAAACCTGCCCAAGGTCACACAGCTTCAAAACGGCACGGCTAAGTTGAGAACCCAGGTAGTCTGGCTTTAGCATTCATGCTCCTGATCACAGAGCCGCGCTGCCTCTTGAGAGGGCTGTGAAGAGGATTAAATTTAAAAAGGCACAGGAAATGCTGTCCCAGTAGCAACGCTGAAAGGTGCATTAGGGAGGGAGAGACTGTATCATGAAATCCTTGAATGCCTGGTGTCACCCAGGATTCTCCTGGTCTCAGGAGGTGTGTAGAGGTAATAGGCAAATTTCGCTTCTCTTCCTAAAGCCCAACCAGGAAGGAAATGTTCACAGTCAGCCTTGGTTGCCCATTCTAAGTTTGGACACTTGCAGAGCTCAGGAGGATCTTCCCTGTGCATAGATGAGGCTGTAAAGTGAAGAGTACAAGCTTCAGAATCAGACCTAGGATGGATCCCAGCCTTGCCCCTTGCTTCCTGGGCGACTTTGCCTGAGTCATGTAACCCCCTTTCTGTGCCACAGTTTACTTTTCTATCTCATCGGATAATATCTCCACCAAAGATAAATGGGAGGATGAAACAAGAGAATCGTGCAAAATCTTGGGTAAACAGTAGATGCTGTTATATGGAGCTTGTCTCTGATGGGATGATGTGAAGCCAACAGATGATGAAGTGGAGCTCCATGAAGCTCCACTTTTCCCTTGAAGCTGGGAAAGTTAGCAGAAAGTTGCATGATGGCAATGACTTTGATTTAGTAGACAGTGTGGAAATCCCAGTCTCGCCTTGTCAAACTCCTCTGAAGTGAAAAGCCTTAATGGGAATACCCCTTAAAGGAAGAGGTAGTGACCCACCCACCTGCGGCAATGAAGAAGAACTTCTCGGAGATGCGTCCTGACTGTCCAAAGGGAAGCAGCCCGGCTTCAGTATCAAGGTGCAGCTGCCGGCTTGCTCTCTGCAAATTTCACAGAAAGAGCCATCTAGTGGCCTGAACAACTGCGGTCCACCGGGTCTCTTGGAACCACCTTGTGTTGGGTGTTTCATGGGTCCTTTGAGGACTAAAGGGAGTTCGGTGTCTGAATCCAGCCAGACTTCAGAAGTCTGGGCACGGCTGGCTGGTCATACACGAAAAGGTGCCACTACTGCTCAGCCCCTTGAATAAGGAACTTCTCCAGTAGCAAACTGTCTACCCGAACTAGATGCCTCATGTTCGCAGGGAGGCGTCTCACTCTGTCAATCATGGCAGGAGGGGCAGGAGGAGGAGGAAACAAAGCTTTTACCTGTCAGCCAGGCAGCCGGCCTCTCTTGCTGGTTGCTCCTCTCACTTCCAAAACTCTCCTGGGTGGGACAACTCTGGCTCATAAACCTGCTGAGATAACCGCTGTGAGCCTCAGTTCCCACATCTGGGAACAGTGGGTAATACAAAAGAACAAAATCAGGTCCTTTGCAGCAACATGGATGCAGCTGGAGGCCATTATCCTAAGCAAATTAATGACGCAGGAACAGAAGACTACATACCACATGTTCTCACTTGGAATTAGGATCTAAACATTGAGTACACGTGAACATAAAGATGAAAACAGTAGGTTGAACCCGGGGGCTCACCCCTGTAATCCCAGCACTTTGGGAGGCCGAGGCAGGTGGATCACAGGAGGTCAGGAGTTCGAGAACAGCCTGGCCTACATGGTGAAACCCCGTCTCTACTAAATATACAAAAATTAGCTGGGTGTGGTGGTGCATCCCTGTAATCCCACCTACTCAGGAGGCTGAGGCAGGAGAATCTCTTGAACCCCGGAGGCAGAGGTTGCAGTGATTGGAGATCGCGCCACTGCACTCCAGCCTGGATGACAGAGACTTTGTCTGGAAAAACAAAAAGCAAAAAGGTGGTGACAGTAGACACCGAGAACTTCTAGAGGGGGACAAGGGTTAGAAAACTAACCATTGGGTACTACGCTCACTACCTGGGTGAAGTGGTCAATCATACTCCATACTTCAGCATCACACAATACACACATGCAACTAACCTGCACAGGGATCCCCAGAATCTAAAATAAAAGTTGAAATTATAAAAATAAAATAGATAAAAATAGATAACAGATGCCCAACATTGTGATAGAATCTGTTTATTGAGTTGTTGGTAGGATGGTTGTCTGTCTCATGCTATTAAAATATAAGCTCGATAGGAGCAGGCATCTGTCTGTCTTATTCACAGACATGTCCCCAGCACCTAAGATGTACTTGGCACTCAGTAAATATCTGTGAATGAATGTATGAAAAGTCGTTGTAGGAGTTCGCATGAAATGATGTGGGTAACCGCTACCTTTTATTAACTGCTAACTATTCTGAACTGTGTCTTTGCACTGGTTAAGTCAGCGTATCTTTTTAGCCCTGCGAGGTTTTGATATTATAGATAGTTTACGTAGGAGGAAAGCAAGGCTCAGAGAGGGTAAACGACTTTCCCTAGGTCACACAGCTGGGAAGTGGTAGAGCTGGATTTCAGATCCTCAAGAGTGACTCCAGGGCATACATTTATAACAACTTCATCGGACGGTGCCCATCGTGTCCTGGTAGCATATCATGATCACCATGATTTCCATGGCCTACTTCTTGCTCTGAACAGTTGGAGAACTGGACATTGGATACACTGCCTCCAAAGGGAGTGACCAGAGTTTCCTTCTGGATGATGACAGTGCACGCGAAAGTTGGTAGTGATGAGGTTTTTGCATATCCACCCTGAAACTTGGTAGAAAATGTCAGGGCCTATTGAAGTATATGGCCAAGAGGGGTACATTCCATCTTGTGAACAGCAGCTCTCAGTCCAGGCTGCAGAAATCATTTTCCAAAAGCTTGAGTGTAGGCACTGCTGTCACTTTGATTCCTGTGGCCTTCCAATCGACATTGGATGTCCTGCAGGCCATGCCAACCTCAGGCATAAACAGGAAGTGCCAGTGGGGCACCCGCAGCTTACAGAGAGCAGACCTTCAAGATGGCAGCCTCCTTCAGGAACTTGGCCAATGAAAACTTGCTCGGAAGCCCCTGTCCCCAGTAGGTTGGGCCAAGGCAAACACATGCTCATAAAGGAGATTTAGGGGGTGACAGCAGCATATTCATTTGTACCTCTGCATAGTAAAAATAATTTATTAGCAGCTTCTGGGGAAGCTCAGTTCTGAAATCACATGGATGGCAATATTAGGAGCCTATTTCTTTCTCTCTCTCCCCACCCCAAATGGTTCCGGCTTTCAGATGATAGAAATTAACTGGGTTTGTGTGTGTGTATGTGCATCTATATTTATTTATTTACAGGCGCCTCTCCTTATTTATGTCTCTGGCTCCGTGAGCATTTCCATTTCTTTAGAGGCCCTGCGGTAATGAGCTTACAAGTGAACCATTCATTACCCACTGTGGCAGGGTGTGTGTGGGGGATAGGGCCCACACAGGCAAAGGATGAGTTTGAAAACTGGGTGTTTTTCAACAGCAGGAGACCCATTTGTCTCCTTAAGTGCCCCGTCCCAGAGGACCTGGATCGGAGAATGTTGGGGAGGAAGGATGATGGTTAGGACAAGAGGGCTTCCTGGGAGTTGAATCAAGAGAGACAGAGAAGGTGTATAGGGAAATAAAACCAGGGGACAAATAGAATATTGTGGTTTGTGGCTTTCAGGAGTCAGGGGCGTGGCACCAACCTAGAAATGAATCTCAAATAACAGAGGTAGAGAATGAATCACAGGCAGCCAGGCAAGAGGACTTTACACCAGGAACCCAGGCTTTTCAGATAACTCTCTTACTTCTGGACTCCTCCCTTCCCCACCCCAGGCCAAAGATCAGCTCACTTAGTGATTGCTTTCTTCCAGGGCCTTTGGTGGAAGTGGTGTTTCCTCCTGGGGGGGACTTTAGAAACCTGTGGGGCACTGAGCCAAGCGTAGTTGTTAACAGCCCACAGGAGTAACAATGTAAGTTTATAACCATGCTGTGTGATTTGAGGCAAGTTACTTAACCTCTCTATGCCTCCATACTTTCACCTGTGAAATGTGGATACTAATTGCACCTACCCAATAGAGTTGTTCTGGGGTTTTTTGTTTGTTGATGTGTTTGTTTATTTTTGAGATGGAGTCTCCCTCTGTTGCTCAGGCTGGAGTGCAGTGGCGCAATATTGGCTCACTACAACCCCCACCTCCCAGGTCCAAGCGTTTTTCCTCCCTCAGCCTCCCGAGTAGCTGGTATTACAGGCGCACACCACCACGCCCAGCTAATTTTTGTATTTTCAGTAGAGACAGGGTTTCACCATGTTGGCCAGGCTACTCTTGAACTCTTGGGCTTAAGTAATTCCCACGCCTCAGCCTCCCAAAGTGCTGGGATTTCAGATGTGAGCCACCGTGCCCGGCCCTGCTCTGAGAGTTTTAAAGATAATCTATATAAAGTGTGTAGCTCAGTCATTAGAGTAAATGTTCACTAAGTGTTAGCTGGGATCGTTGTTATTATAAAAGGAGTTGGGCTGGTCCTCTCACCACACCTTTGCACATGCTTTGCCCTTGCCTGGAAAGCCCTTTTTTCCTTTGTCTGTCTTGCTCCTTTCTTCTCAAGATGAGGCTGGAAAACTGCTTTCTCTGTGAAGTCTCCTCCATTCTCCTTGGACCCCAGACCATGTGAGGCTCCACACCCTTGATGAAATTCAAATCCTGAGCACACCCATCCCTACACTCCCTTTTGGTCCTATATTAAAATAACTTATATTCATACTTACTTTCCTCTCTTTTCTCAGAATTCCACCAACAGCAGGAAGCATACTTTAGTTCCCCTTCCTATATCCTTTTCCCCTGCCCCATCTGTCAGGGAGTGGACACCCAAATAACATATGTGGAATGAATAAACCTGTGATTTTAACCCCAGCAGACCCAGCCCTGCTCAATGTCACAAATCTTTTAAAACATTCCTTTCACCCAACCAGAAATGAAATCCAGCCTTATTCTATCCTACTTAAACACCCACAACTCTAAAAAAGATCAATAGACTGCTAAAATAGTATGAAGAAGAAATATATGACAGCAATTTATAAACAGATAATATGTTTTATTATTTAAATGATGATGCCTGTAATCCCAGCACTTTGGGAGGCTGAGGCAGGTGGATCACTTGAGGTCAGGAGTTCCAGACCAGCCTGGCCAACATGGTGAAACGCTGTCTCTACTAAAAATACAAAAATTAGCCAGGCATGGTGACGTGCACCTGTAATTCCAGCTACTTGGGAGGCTGAGGCAGGAGAATCACTTGAACCCGGGAGGCAGAGGTTGCAGTGAGCCGAGATCATGCTACTGCGCTCCAGCCTGGACGACAGATCGAGACCCTGTCTCCAAAATAAACGAATGACTGACTGACTGACCGAATGAATGATGGGTGCAACAACATTAGCACTTCTCAATTTTTTTTTTTTTTTTTTGAGACAGATTCTCACTGTGACGCCTAGGCTGGAGTGCAGTGGCATGATCTTGGCTCACTGCAACCTCTGCCTCCCGGGTTCAAGCGATCCTTCTGCCTCAGCCTCCCGAGTAGGTGGGATTACAGGCACCCACCACTACAACTGGCTAATTTTGATATTTTCAGTAGAGACAGGGTTTCATCATGTTAGCCAGGCTGGCCTCGAACTCCTGAACTCCAGTGATCTGCCCACCTCGGACTTCCAAAGTGCTGGGATTACAGGCATGAGCCACCATGCCTGGCGTACTTCTCAATTTTTGATGTGCAGACGAATTGCTTGGGGATGCTGTTAATGTGCAGACCCTGATTCCTGTGGTCCAGGCTGGGGCCTGAGATTCTGCACATCTAACACGTTCCCAGGTGATGCAGATGTTGCTGGCCAGTGGTCCACACTTGGTTGCAAGGGGCTGGAGGATACATGAAGAGGTCAGCTACTGCGTATTGAGTCAGTGAGAATTCAGTAGTTACAAATGCAGGCGGGGAATGGATGTGTGTGTTGGTGACTCACAGCCACAGCTTGTGTGGCCTTTGATGATGTAATTTTCTGAAACTGTGGTCAAACTAAGTGATATAAAATCTCTTCTTGAGTGAAACAGTAGTTACTTTCCTAGAAAATTCAGCTATGTTAAAACCATTCATAATAATGTTGTATCATATGTAAATCTAAGTTAGGCTCCTGGCCTGGATAATTATAAATGAGTTGTTTACGCACAGGACATCTGGGGACGTTCAGAAGATGTGCAGGATGCAGGACAGCTCTTCATTGTCCAGCCACGAGTGTTCCCCTGTCCTGCTGGGTTTCTGATGTTCTCCCACCCACTCATTGCCAACAGCATCCCCCAATCATTGTGATAACTGGAAATGCCACCACACGCTTCCAGAACACCTCATTAGGGACAATGCCACCTCCATCAAACACTCTGGAATACAAGGATCTTTTGGGGTTCTGAGATCTCCGAGGCAAAGCTCAGGAGGTAGAAGGCCTCCCGGAAGAGCCTGTGTCATTGGTGGGAAGCAGTGTCACCGCGTGCAGACATGCCAGAGGGCTAAGGGGACACTGGCCGGGCCGGACAGAGCAGATGCCCCTTCTGGAGACCATGGGACCGCTACTTAGCCTCAAGACAACTGTCATGCGTAGAAATCTAAGCTCAGTGTTGTCAGGTCCCTGATGTTTCCAGAAGGGGCAGAAATCCAAAGTTTTAGATGAAATCTCTAGATTTTGAAATGTGGGCCGAGATTAAGTTAAACAAATGAAAACAGTCTACAGAGTGAACCAGACACCTGTGTGCCTGAAGGAGCCATTGGTCCCGGTTGTGGCTTCTGGCTTAAATTAAGAGACATGGCCGGGCGCAGTGGCTCAAAGCCTGTAATCTTAGCACTTTGGGAGGCCAAGGGAGGCAGATCACTTGAGGTCAGGAGTTCGAGACCAGCCTGGCCAACATGGTGAAACCGCGTCTCTACTAAAAGTACAAAAAATTAGCCGGGCATGGTGATGCGCATCTGTAATCCCAGCTACTTGGGAGGCTGAGGTGGGAGGATTTTGTTGAACCTTGGAGGCCGAGGTTGCAGTGAGCCAAGATCGTGCCACTGCACTCCAGCCTGGGTGACAAAGCGAGACTCTGTCTCAAAAAAAAAAAAAAAAAAAAAAAAAACCAACAACAAAAAATAAATTAAAAGACATGCCATCAACTCAAAGACTATCCACTGCCCAAATGAATGTGTCCCTCCTCTTCTGTGTCATCCTTCCCTAGCGGGAACCCTAACTTCTCCCGCTTTCCTCATGCAGCTGCCATTTCTCCCTGGTCACCCCAGCCAGCCTCCTCCCTCTGTCCCCTCTGGAATACCCTTCCTTGGTTAACTCTGGCCCTTTCTCCAGCCAGCTCTCTTCATACCAGCCTCTCTCCTATTCTGACTGCTCTGGCTGGATGCCAGGGTCTGTTTCTGTTGGAAAATGAGGGAAAGAAAGGCTGTTTCTGAATGGGAACAGGATTTGAGCAGCTGAGATCGGCCAGTATGGGCCCTTGAGCCCTGGTTCCCAGCAGGGGTCGGGGGTGGGAAGGTGATTTTGCCCCACTCCTACTCCAGGAGACATTTGACAATGGTCTGGAGACATTTTTGGTTGTAACAAGGGCACATGACTGGGGTCTAGTGGGTAAAGCTCACAGATGCTGCTAGATACCCTGCAATGTACAAGATAGCCCCTAAAACAAAGAGTTATCCAGCCCCAAATGTCAACAGCGCTGTCCTTGAGAAACCCTGCCTGAGAGGTACGCAGAAGGCTTTATTATTAAAGCAAGACTGGGTTGTTCACATTCTCTCTGTGCCTATCTGTGTGTGTGTCTCCCTCTCTGTCTCTCTCTCTGTGTCTCTTGCTCTGTGTCTCTCTCTGTATCTTTCTCTCTGTATCTTTCTCTCTGTGTCTCTCTCTTTGTCTCTCTGTGTCTCTCTCTCTCTGTGTCTTTCTCTGTGTGTCTCTCTCTCTGTGTCTCTACCACACCCCCTTTCTCTCTGGATCTTTGGGTATTGTGGCCATAACTGTGGAATAACGCAATGGAATGCTGCAATTAATTAGAGGCAAACTGTGTTCAAATAGTAACGAAGAAGAGGCCAGCCTTCGGGACACTTAAAAACAAACAAACAAACAAACAAACAAAAAACAGTTAGGAGGCCTCTCTCCATAGAAAAGCTCTTCTGTGTGTGAGGCATTTTGTTCCAAAACAGACATGGTTGTTGTCATTTCTGGAAGGCTCTGCTCTCTCTCCCTCTGTCCTTGGGTCTGACTTTGCAACCTCATGTTGTCTCTGGAGTCTGACTCCTGTGCGTCACTTCTGACCCTGCCTCTTACCCACCGAGTGACCTTGGGCAAGCCTGGCTCAGCCTCACTGGCCCCATTTGAAGGGGCATTCATTTTTTCTGCGGAGAGCCAGATGTTGGCTTTTCTGGGCATGTAGTCTCTGTCATAGCTACACAACTCTGCCGTCCTAGCACAAAAGCACCACCTTCAGTGTGTGCACGAATGGGCATGGCTGTGTCCTGGAAGAACTTTATTGACAAAAGCAGGTGGTAGGGTGTTTTGCTGACCCCTGACCTACTTTTTGAGATAATTTTGAGGAATGAATAGCGATGCCAAGCCACGGGCTTAGCTCCGTGCCTGGTAGGTAATCAGCACATAGTAAACAATAGCTGATGTTTGTTTCTTCTTCTCGTTCCATTTTCTCTTGCATTTCCTTCCTTTTCGTCTTTTTCTCCTCTGCCATTATTTCGCCCTCTGCTGTGTATCTCTGTACCACACAGCTGTCTCTTATGCTGATAGGGAAAGAGCCAGGAGATGCCAGTTCAGATCTTTCCCTGCCACCTGCCTGCAGTCCCTTGGGTGCTCTGAGCGCTGTGACTGTCACTGTCATGTCCCCCTGGTGGGGTTGGGAAGAGGGGAGTGGGTTAAGTCAGGGGCTGGGCTCTGAGCACGCTTTGCTGGGCTCTTTGGTTTTTACCCCAAGGACTTAGCCTTGTAGGCTTGAGGTCCAGGCTAGGTGGCCTTGGGCTGCGTCAAACATAAACAAAGCCAGACCCTATGAAAGGGGTAAGGGCACATTTAATCAGTAATGCCTGTTGCAATAGGAAAAGCATCCAGCATGGAACTGAACTCAACTTGGATTTGTTCAGAGGTGACTGGGTGTTTTAAAGAGAGAAGGAAGCAGAGTGCGGTGGCCCACGCCTGTAATCCCAGCACTTTGGGAGGCCAAGGCAGGTGGATCACGAGGTCAGGAGTTCGAGACCAGCCTGACCAACATGGTGAAATCCCATCTCTACTAAAAATACAAAAAAAATTAGCTGGGCATTGTGGCACACGCCTGTAATTCCAGCTACTCAGGAGGCTGAGGCAGGAGAATTGCTTGAACCCGGGAGGCGGAGGTTGCACTGAGCAGAGATCATGCCATTGCACTCCAGCCTAGGCAACAGAGGGAGACTCCATCTCAAAATAATGATAATAATAATAATAATAATAATAATAAAGGGAGAAGGAGAGAGGTGGGAGGGAGGGAAGGGAGATGAGCTCAGTGGACTCAGGGAAGTGAAGAATTACCAAAAGCAGGAAGGGAGGGTTGGTCTATGTGTGACTCAAATGGGTTTGCTAACTGCTGTTTATGAAGTGTGGCTCCTGCTCTCTTACAGAGGCTGGGAGATGATGCCCTGTCTAGAGGTGTTAGCTGGAACAAACAGTAAATTATTTTGGCAGCCTTGAGTTTTCTAAAGCAGTCACTTTAAGCAGGAGCTGGGGTCATCCCAGGGATGTTGCCTTGAGCTGTGAGAAACTATGTTAGTGTTTCAGGCCAGGCGTGGTAGCTCACGCTTGTAATCTCAGCACTTTAGGAAGCCAAGGATTGCCTGAGCCTAGGAGTTTGAGACCAGCCTAGGCAACATAGCAAGGTCCTGTCTCTACAAAAAATTTAAAAAGCTGGGTATAGTGGTGAAAGCCTGTGTAGTCCCAGCTACTCAGGAGGCTGAGGCAGGAGGATCGCTTGAGGTCAGGAGGTTGAGGCTGCAGTGAGTCGTGATCATACCACTGTACTCCAGCCTGGGGAACAAAATGAGACCCTGTCTCAAAAAATAAATAAATAAAAAAGAAAGAAAGAAAGAAAAAGAAAAACAACGTTAGCATTTCATTCAAGTCTTTATAGGTAAAGCTGAGAGGCCCAGTAGAAAAAGGGGGCAGAGGAGGCTGACTAGAGTTTGATCAAGGACTAACTCTTGACAGCAGGTCATTCTTCCTCCCTGAGGATGATTCAGGACTTGAGGGGCCTGGGTTCCTCTCTCTATAGGAAAGTATTTATCGGCTGGGCGCAGTGGCTCACGCCTGTAATTCCAGCACTTTGGGAGGCCAAGGCAGGCAGATCACCTGAAGTCAGGAGTTTGAGACCAGCCTGGCCAACATGGTGAAACCCTGTCTATACTAAAAATACAAAAATTAGTCGGGCATGGTGGCGGGCACCTGTAATCCGTGCTACTTGGGAAGCTGAGACAAGAGAATCGCTTGAACCCGGGAAGCGGAGGT
Source organism: Homo sapiens (assembly GCF_000001405.40). Taxonomy (NCBI): domain Eukaryota; kingdom Metazoa; phylum Chordata; class Mammalia; order Primates; family Hominidae; genus Homo; species Homo sapiens. The sequence goes on along the minus strand of NW_019805500.1, from coordinate 270,013 downwards.
TGCGGTGAGCCGAGATTGCACCACTGTACTCCAGCCTGGGCAACAAAGAGCGAAACTCCGTCTCAGAAAAAAAAAAAAAAAAAAAGTATTTATCACTCAACTTCGATTTCTATCTGTTCTGTGTGTGTGTATTGTGTATGGAAGTAAAATACAAATCAAAAGGCTTGGCATGTAGCAAAACAGCCTACATAAAAGAATCCTAAACTTTTAATTTTAATAATCAGTAAATATTTCTGATTGTACTTATGTATTATGTCAGTAGTTCTCAAACTTGGTCTCAGGATTGCTGTATAGTCTCAAACATTATTGAGGAACACCAAAGAGCTTTGGCTTAGGTAGGTGCTATCAATTACTTCCTATATAGTAATATTTAAACTAAGGCATTCTTAAAATGTTTATTAATTCACTTAAAAACAGTCATAATAACCTATTACTTGTGTATATAAAATATATTTATGAAAAGTATGCATATTTTTCCCCAACGAAAACAAATTTAGGAAGAAGGGAGGCACTGTTTTACATTTTTTGCAAATCTCTGTAACACCTGGCTTAATAGAAGATAGCTAGATTCTCACATTTGCTTCTGATTTCTGATGCAGTATGACGTGCAGTGGAGTTTCTGGAAAACTCCACTGTACACTCATGAGAGAGTAAGCGAGAAAGGAAAATAATGTCTTTATATTATCGTGAAAATAGTTTGTCATTAAAGATCCCCTGAGAAGGCCTCAGGGACCCCCAACAGTTCCCAGACCACACTTTAAGAACCACTTTAAGTCACCATTGCAATCATTAATTCTATTTTAATAAATTATACCTAATATTTATTAAGTTCTAGGTATTAAGTGTTTTAAATTCATTGACTCTTAATTCTCATAACAGCCTCATTAGATTGGGTACTCATTATTGTCCCCATTTTACAGAGAAGGAAACTGAGGCAGACAAAGTTAGGCACTGTGCCCTGGGCCACACAGTGAGCAAAGGCCAGGGTCCAGATTTCAACCCACTGTGCCTCAACACTCTGCCTTTCCAAAAAGTCTCAGTCTTGGCCGGGCGTGGTGGCTCACGCCTGTAATCCCAGCACTTTGGGAGGCTGAGGCGGGCGGATCATGAGGTCAGGAGATTGAGACCATCCTGGCTAACATGGTGAAACCCCGTCTCTACTAAAAAATACAAAAAATATTAGCCGGGCTTGGTGGCGGGCGCCTGTAGTCCCAGCTACTCGGGAGGCTGAGGCAGGAGAATGGCGTGAACCCGGGAGGCGGAGCTTGCGATGAGCGTGATCGCACCACTGCACTCCAGCCTGGGCGACAGAGCGAGACTCCGTCTCAAACAAACAAACAAAAGACTCAGACTTGCTCATCAAGTGACAAGGCGCTAGCTTAAAATATCATCCTGCTGCCACTTGAGTGCTTAACATGTATCAAGCCTCTCACCCAATGTTGTTTTGTTAAATAGAATTATATGTGCATGACATATTAGTTAATCCCCACCTTACATTTGCAAAGTAGGTCTTCTTACCCCCTTCTTTTGTAGATGAGAAAAATGAGGCTCTGAGAGGTTAAACCTCTTGCCCTCCGTCTCAGAGTTAAGGAGCAGAGACTGGATTCCAACCCAGCCCTATCAGTCTCACTCCTTCCTGCCTCACCCTGTGCTGTTTTGCATCCCATTAACATGATGCTACATTGCAAAGGGCTTTTTACTTAGGGTTCTGTTAAAGCAGGGCCTGCCTGCGTCCAGCGTGGTCCACGGGTTTCTAAGTGCTGGCCAGCCACCTTTTGTGCATGCAGATGAGCTGGACGAGGGGCCTCTGTTAGGTCTATTTGCATTGGCAGCCTGGGTAATTGCATGTTCTAATTGGTACAGCCACACACACTGTGCTTCCACCGTTCGCCTACCCTGGCACGGAGGTCCTTTTGGAAGCAGGTGCAGGCCTCTCCCTGTTTGTCCCTCCCAGTGGCCTTGGTAGCCTTGGTGATTGGAACGAAGCCTCGGACACTGAGTTCAACACCAAATAACTACCCAGCCGGCTGTGCGTGCACATGGCACAAAAGGAAGCCGTAAACTGATCACGATGAGCGGGTGGGCCAGGCGCCCTCATGTGTGAGCAGTGCACCTGGCTGGGGTTTCCCTTTGGCCCTGTCCCTATTCCTAATAGCTGCGGAGAGGCAGTGGGGTATTGAAAGGCATGACCTCCAGACCTAGACAGCCTGGGTTCAAATCCTGGCTCCTCTGTTTCCTAGGTGTGTGGACTTAGTCATTTAACCTCCCTGAACCTTAATGTTCCAATCTGAAAAATGGGTAGAAAATATAGCGTCTTCTTTATCAGCTCATCATGGAGATTAAATGAGTTAGTACATGCAACAGGCTTGGAACGGAACCTAAGACATACGTGTTTCTTAAGCACTTTGGACGTGTCAGGCACTATCTTCTATGCTTGATCGATTCAGTCCCTGGGAAGTAGGTGCCATCTTCGGCTCTCTGGGATGGATGAGGAAACTGAGGCAAAGAGAGGCGAAATGTTCTGTCCCAGCTTGAAGAACCCCAGCAAATGGAGAAGGGAGGAATCAAACTCACTTCTTCCTGAGTCCAGACCTCTGAATCTCAGTGTGCTGCTATAGACGATAATAGAGGGATAGGGCTGCAGACGGGATGCGCTTTGAAGCTTCCATTTTGTCCTCAGTTCCTGGTCTCTTAAGGTCCATCGAATTGTTTTAATGAGCTGAAGTGGCAGAATTTTGTTCATTGAATATATTGATTAATAACTAACTCAGAATGGTTAGTAACACACATTCGGGACACATCATTTTACAGATAAGAAAATTGGACATCAGCTAATGCAATACTAGTACCCAGGTCTTCTCCTACATAAACAATAAGAGCAAAGGTGGATAGTTTAAAAATCACGGCAACCCACCCCCACCCCTCAGAAATGGGAGCAAGGGGCCAGGATTCAGTAGACTAAGTATTGATTCATCCTGAACCAAGAGAACCTGGGAAAAATGGAAACAGACCCACGTGTCTTTGCAGCAGCAGCGTGGGTCAGGTAACCTGCTTCTCGGAGCCATATTATGTTTAGCATATTTCTACCTGATTGAAATTGACTCTAAACATGCCCAAGGTTGAATGGGAATGGAGGACATTATTGCATTTAATTATTTCTCCAGAATAAAAATGGATTCTAGCAGCAGCTTAGAGGTAAGGCAACAGCAGAGCAATTAGAGTTTTGGAGCTTGCACACAAACATTTGAATGTGCAATCATTGTAATAAGTACATTAAAATAAAGTAAGTCAAAGGGTTGCATTAGCATAAATAACTCAAGGTGAGAGAGTTGGATTGATGAAGAGTAGAGAAGATGATGCCAGTTGATCACAATTGCGAAATAATAACCCATCTGTCCTCTAGGCAGAGACTGTCAGGGGAGAGAGAGTGTTAATTGGTAGAGTTCCCCAGTCTGGTTTACTGCTCATTCTTCTTCCAGCTTTGTGTGGTGGGCATATTCTAGTAGTTTTACATACACTCTTCCTCACTGAATTACCCAAGAGGTGAGGTGTTGTTTGTTTGTTTTGAGACAGAGTCTCACTCTGTCACCCAGGCTGCAGTGCAGGGCACGATCTTGGCTCACTGCAACCTCCATCTCCTGGGTTCAAGCGATTCTCCTGCCTCAGCCTCCTGAGTAGCTGGGACTACAGGTGCGTGCCACCACGCCCAGCTAATTTTTTGTATTTTTAGTAGAGACGGGGTTTCACAGTGTTAGCCAGGATGGTCTCGATCTCCGGACTTCATGATCCGACCGCCTCAGCCTCCCAAAGTGCTGGGATTACAGGTGTGAGCCACTGTGCCCGGCCTGAGATGGATATTATTATCATCCCCATGGATACCAAGGTGTTATCATCCCAATGTTTTAAATGAGGAAACTGAGACACAGAGAGTTTGAATCACTTCATTACTAGCAGTGTAGCCTCGGTCAAGTTATTTAACCTCTCTCTATGTTAGTTTCCTCCTCTTAAGGAGTACTAATACTGTCTGTTTTGGTGAGTTTTCAAGAAGATTCAAAGGACACAGAGCATGGGCCACTTGGGTGCTGGGCATATGATGGTTATTTTTTATGGGTCTGCCTGGAGACCTCCCAAGATTGGTTTTGTGAAGGGAAGGGATCCTGGGTTTGGCTTTCTGGATCTTGAGTCTCCACAGAAAGGACAGAAAAGCCAAAATCTGTTTGCCCCTTGGCAGTCAGATGAAGAGTTAGGGGGAACATGAAGTGATATGTCATGTCCATCCTTGGATGGCTGGATAAAGAAAATGTGGCATATACACACAATGGATGTTAGCTTCAAAAAGAAGAAAATCCTGCAACATACAGCAACATGGATGAACTCTGAGGACATTATGCTAACTGAAAGAAACCAGTCACAGAAGGACAGATAGTACACGTGTTTATTCTGCTTCTATCAGCTATCGAAAATAGTCCGAATCCTAGAACCAGAGAGTGAAGTAGTAGTTGCCAGGAGTTGGGGGATTGGGGAGGAGCATGGGGAGTTGCTGATGGACAGGCATAACATCTCAATCATGCATGCACAATGAAGAAGCCATAGAGACCTGCTGTGCAGTACTATAGCCAACAATATAGTAGTACATGCAACAATATACAACAATTTGCTGTATGTTGCATATAGTACTATAGTGTTGACTATAGCTGCATAGTCAACAATAATACACACTTAAAAATTGGTTCAGAGGGTAGATCTCATGTTAAGTGTTATTATCATAGTAGTCCCAGCACTTTTGGAGGTTGATGTGGGTGGATCACCTGAGGTCAGGAGTTCGAGACCAGCCTGGCCAACATGGTGAAAACCCGTCTCTACTAAAAATACAAAAATTAGCCGGGCGTGGTAGCACACACCTGTAATCCCAGCTACTCAGGAGGCTGAGGCAGGAGAATCACTTGAACCTGGGAGGCGGAGGTTACAGTGAGCCAAGATGGCGCCGTTGCACTCCAGCCTAGGTGACAAGAGTGAAACTCCATCTCAAAAAAGAAAAGAAAAGAAAAAAATGAATTGAAGGGGGGAAGCCAGAGAGAACGCCGCAGTCACTATAGAAAATGACAGTGACTCTGAGGGACAGAAATTCTCAGGCCTCCAATTCTCGCTGACTGCGCCTCTCTCTGACTTTTCTGGAAGCGATCTAGTATCTGTGAGCCCTTTTGTTCCAGAAGACAAAATATTTTCCTTCCCTCTTATACTCAAATCTTTTGGGTTCCCATGGCAGCTGAGTAGCATCTGGGGCCAGGCAGAAGTTCACAGGGCCACCACAAGCTAATCATCGCCATTGTGGTGGCCTGTCTTGAGTAGAGAGCGGGTATTAATCATGAGTCCCATCAGAATCAATGGTGGTGCCTCTTCCTGATATTACACATTAGCCAGAGGAATTGGCCATTCTCTGATTGTCAGATTAGCTTCATTGGCCGTGGGGGGTGGAGGGAGATGATCGCAGTGTTTTCTGTCTGGTTTTGCTTGGCAAAGTTCAGCCAGAAAGTGATGGAGAACAGGAGCTTTTGAAATGGGGGTTTGTGGAGGTTTTCTGTTGTGTGGCGGGGAAACTTGCTGATAACAAGGAAAGAGAAGGGCCCCAGAATGACACTTAGGATATGTCTGAAGAGAGAAAACGAAGATGTCCATCAGGGCAGTAGCTCTTCTGGCTTACTCCCTGCCCTTTAGACATTTCTAGAAACTTCTAGAAAATGGGCTTAGGGACAGAATTTAAATTTATGTTCTTGGAGCATGGGAGTCGTCAATAGATGTTTCTGTCTGTTGGAGGGAGAAAAAAATTGGCTCCTGTACCTGACTCAGCTCAAAGGAAGAAAGGAGATCAGGTTAGCTCCTGGATTAATCGGGATGAGTTAGACCATGCTACAGTAACACAGATCCCCCAAATCTCAGTGACTCAAAGCAGCAGGGGTCAATTTCTGCACACTGAGGGTTGGTAGAGTCTCTACTCCACATGGGCCTCACTCAGGGATGCATGACCTCCACCAGCAGGAGTGTGGCTGGATATTGTGGTATCCAGGGAATGACACCTTATGGGTTCCAGTCACTGCTCTTGGCCATAGCATGTTTCCTGTCTGTGCCTAATATACAAGGGATAGGGACATACAATCCTAACACATCCCTAGAAGGAATGGAACAGAAATGATTTTTCATAGCTTTATTGAATGCCACCCCTGCCCCATCAGCTCCATCCCGACAGACGCTAATATGAGCAAAGATGGTGATACCCATTATTCCACTGCAGGGGAACTGAATGCTTCTTGATTTACTTCTCAGCAAAACACAAGAGGCGTGATACAATAGCAGATTTTAGAATCAGGCAGATGCAAGTTCGCTGCCTCCCCAACATGAATTTGTGCAAATTACTCGACATCCCCAACCTTATTTTCCACCCTTTTCTGTAAGGTGGGCGAACAGTAGTGCCTACGTTGGAAATTATTTCCAGGAGTTAAGTGAGGTACTGCATCCAAGGGCTTAGCATGGCACCTAGCACGTGATCCATAGTGAAGAATGTATCACAACAAGCGTTGGCTCCTCGTTCTATAAAATGGCAAGATAAATACATCCAATTGTCAGTACCCTATAAGTAATACCTGTGAATAACTTACTGTGGTGCCTGGCTCATGGTAAGAGCTCAGAAAATGCGCCTGAGAGGCTGCTTGGGACTCTTCAAGGGCCTCTGGATAGAAAAAAAGGGAAAAGAGGAACATCAGCAGGTTTTGTTTAGGTTACAAGAATAAAGATGTACTCTAGGTACCAACTGAAGGGGATTTTTTTTGTAGGTATCTGTGGAGAATAAGAAAGACCAGAAGCAGAAGGCCCTCATTTATAGGTCAGGATATAAAAGCAGTTCCTGTGTACAACCAGTAGCCGCCCTGTGACCCAATATGGACTGGTCAGCTGTTTTTTTCTTGGTTCTTTTTCCTTCTTCCTACCTTGTTACCTCCCAGCTCCTGCAGCCTCAGACTCCACGTGCTTCGTGGCTGCTGCTTACTGTCTCTATATGACTTCCTGCAACACAATAGGCCACTAGCCAGCCTGAAGATTGCAATTTGGAGGTCACACACCTCTAGCAGATTCATTTAGCTGGGTGGGAGGGGCCAGATCTTGTGGTTCAGTGTCAGCTTGCAGTACTTAAGGGTTTTGGGTGATGGGTGTAATAAGGATCATACAATTTCTTGGAAGTGGATCATGTCCCTGGTAGCCCAGAGTGTGGGGTCTGTGATCTGCCTGGTTTGAATTCCAGCTTCACCGCCAACTAGCTGGGTGACCCTGGGCAAGTCACTTGTTCATGGGTGCTTAGTTTCCCATCTGCAAAATGAAAGTCATAGCAGTACTCAGCTTACAGAATGGCCACAAGGTGTCTTAGTGTCAGAGCCTCCAACAAATAGGAGAAATTCGTGCTTACTGCTAGGAGCAATGGAGCAGAGGCTAGAGGAGCATCTTTTTTTTTTTTTTTTTTTTTTGAGAGCCAGTTTCACTCTCCCCCCAGGCTGGAATACATTGGTGCAATCTCAGCTCACTGCAACCTCCGCCTCCCAGGTTCAAGCAATTCTCCTGCCTCAGATTTCTGAGTTAGCTGAGACTACAGGTGTGCACCACCACCCCTAGCTATTTTTTGTGTGTGTGTGTTATTGGTAGAGATGGGGTTTTGCCATGTTGACCAGGCTGGTCTCAAACTCCTCACCTCAAGTGATTCACCTGCCTCGGCCTCCCAAAGTACTGGGATTACAGGTGTGAGCCACCACGCCCAGTCCTAGGGGCACCTTCTTCTCCAGGCCATCACTAAGTCGTATATGGATGGTGAGGACAGAAGCAACTAACCCAGTCCCAGAGGAGGAGGCCTTTTAACTCACACTCCAGCAGAGCAGGGGTCTGCATACATTTTCTTAAAGGGCTGGATAGAAATATTTTAAGCTTTTCAGACCAGAAAGTTTCTATTGCAACTATTCACTCTGCTATTGTATCAGGAAAGCAGCCATGGACAATACACAAATGGACAGGTATGGCTGTGTTTCAATAAAACTTTATTTATAAAAAACACAGGCAGTTGTTTGCTGACCTGCTGGGGTGGGAGCCTTGCTGAGGGTCAGCTGCTCTTGGGTACCCCTGCAGATCCGCTGTTCAGGCCCCGACACCTTTTTCCTTGGGAACTGGTAAGAGGCATATTTCAGCCCTCCTTAAAAGGAGGACTAGCAGGGATGCCGCCCATTGCCCCTGTGTTTCCATAGCAACAAGGGCAGCTATATGGAGCCATTACTCTTCTCTGTGGCTTCAGAGGTCAGGGGCCGTGTTGTAGGACATTGGATATGCTTTCAGATTAAGGCCTTGGGAATGAGCTTTAAGCAGAAGCAACATGTTGCAGAAACAATTTGGGGCATTGGTTGAATGATGCATTTGATCATTCGACTGATCAAAGTAACCAGGACCCATTTACCCATGGAGGAGCTGAGTTTGGGGTCCAGCCCTTCTGGAAACATCCATGCCATGCGTGGTCTCCAGAATGACTCCTGATCTTTGTCTTGACCCCAAATGACTTCATCACTTCTGTTCCATGTACACACATGAAGAGCCAAACTCAAGCACAAGAGTGTCGCAAGTTTGCTTTGCTCCAGGACTTAGTGTAAAGTTTATTCTACAAGGGCTGCATTCCTCTTAAAAAAAAAAAAAAAAAATTGCGGCTGGTTTCTTTCCCACAGAATTTACAACGGCTCAGTCTGATTTCTCTTATGGGCATAGATATATGAGCATGTCCTAAAGGCAATGGAATGTATGTAATATCCTACCAATATTTTTCCCTTTATAACTTTATTATATCATTTCCAGCCCTTAAGTAAACCATCACAGCACTTTCAGCTGGAATTTAAACGGGACGCTGGAACAAAATGTTTGTTACCCAGTGGCAAAGACAGTCAAGGAAAGAAACTGACTTGAAAAGGTGTGGTTAATAAGAAGCATTGAGAATCGTAGTCATGGCACTTTAGAGCTTGAAAAAGCCTTGGTTTCTGGTTGGAACATCTCCTATTTCCAGATGGGGAAACTGAGGTCCAGAGAGAGCCATCTTACCAGAGGTTAAACCAGTAGCAAAAGTAGGATGTGAAACTATGGCCCCGGCTTCCAAGTCCGTATGACTCACTCTTCAAAGGCCAGTCTGCTTAGCATGATCTCTCAGTCAAGTTTCTCTTCTGTTTCTCTCCCCTCTTCTCCAGGATGGCTACTTTTCTCATCGGCCGAAAGAGAAAGTGCGAACAGACAGCAACAACGAGAACTCTGTCCCCAAAGACTTTGAGAATGTCGACAACAGCAACTTCGCACCCAGGACTCAAAAGCAGAAGCACCAGCCTGAGTTGGCGAAGAAGCCACCGAGTAGACAGAAGGAGCTTTTGAAAAGGAAGCTGGAACAGCAGGAGAAAGGAAAAGGACATACATTCCCTGGGAAAGGCCCCGGTGAGGTGCTGCCTCCCGGGGACAGAGCCGCAGCCAACAGCAGCCACGGGAAGGATGTGTCCAGACCGCCTCATGCCAGGAAAACTGGGGGCAGCTCCCCCGAGACCAAGTATGACCAGCCCCCTAAGTGTGACATCTCAGGCAAGGAGGCCATCTCTGCCCTGTCCCGTGCTAAGTCCAAGCACTGCCGCCAGGAGATTGGGGAGACTTACTGCCGCCACAAGTTAGGGCTGCTGATGCCTGAGAAGGTGACTCGGTTCTGCCCCCTCGAGGGTAAGTTCCAACCCCGCTGGCTCAGAGAGGGATCTCCTGGCCACTTCCTCCTCCTGCCCAGCCCCATTCTGCTCACCTTCTCAGACCTTCTGAGAAAGGCCACCCTGTTTTCCAAACCCCAGATGAGCACACGAGATCTGATGTGTTCTAGTACTCCCTGAGTGTTGAAGTCTTGTATCAGAAAAATTTTGCAAAATCAGATTACCTTTTGTAGGTGCTTTAACCCATTGCCTTTATGGCAAAGGATGAAATTATAGTGAAATCGGGAGCTGATGTGATGCTGGCAGGAGCCAAGGGAGCTGTATTGATATGGTTTCGTTTCTCTTTCAGTAGAATATTGGGATTAGAATTGATATGAATATTATTGTAATTGATTATGATTTGAGAGGTTTCTAATTGGTTGCATTAACTTCAGAGGCTCTGTAACTTTCCGTTTTCCTTCATCAAAAGTTTCTTTCCCTCTTCTCTTCTCTTTCTTCCTCATATGTTTCCTGTTTCCCTCCTTCTTTCCTTCTCATTCCTTTATTTTCTTTCTCCCTTTTTCCTCCCTTCCTTCCTCATTTTCTTCCTGGTTTGTTTCTCCCTTTCCTTTTCTTCCCTCTTCTCATTCCCTTCCTTATTTTCCTCTCTTCCCCCTTCCTTCTTTCCTATTTCCTTTCTTCCTTATTTTAATTTTCTTTCTCTCTCCTTTCCTCTTTTCTTCCTATTTTCTTTCTTCCCTTCTACATTCCTTCCTGCTTTCTGTCCTCTTCTTTCCTAATTTTTCTCTCCTCCCTCCCTCCTTTCTTCTTTTCCTTCCTTCATTCTTTACTTCCTTCCTTCCTTCCTTCTTTCCACCTTTCCTTGCTCTTTGCTTTTCCCCTCCCTCTTTCCCTTCACTGGCACTCTTTTATGTGCGGATGACCTGATGATAAACCAGCTCTCTTGCTGAGACACGGAGGGATCCAAGCTCTGATCCAGAAATTCACAGGCAGAGTGGAGGGGCCATCTGAAGATGGGGAGTCCAGTTTCACTAGCGCATGTGCAATCGTGCCATTGATGTGTATTTCTTGGTAGTGATTTTCACCTTCTCTAGTGCCCTTGGAAGGGGAATGACAGCAGCCACAGGGGGCTGCTGAGGCTTCGCTGTGTGCTAGACACCGCACCAGGCTCTGTGCAGTCAATTTGTTTATCACATCCAACACTCTCTGAGGCTGATGCTGATGTCATGAGCCCAATTTTTTTCAGATGAGAGATGTAAAATCCCTCTCCCAAGGTCACATGGCCTTTAAGTGATCTTACAAGCTTACTGTTATGGCAGGAAATTTCGGACCCACTCAGAGTAGAGAGAACCCCAATGTACCATCACCCAGCCACGTGGTCGCTGTTTATTGACTCGTGGTCACTGTTGTTTAGGGCACGCCCCCTTCCCTCCCGCTAGCCCCTGCCACCATAGCTTACGATAATCCAGCCTCTGGGAGCACTCTTAAATTTTACTTTTTTCCTTGGAGAAGATATTCTCAAAATGTTTGTGAATTCGTTTGCTCAGTGGTTTTCTCTGTGGAGAGGGCGGATAGCATCCAAAAGGCACCTTCCCACGAAGAGTTGGTGCCACTAGCAACAAACAGAGAGGAATGCATTTGAAATAAACGGGTGTGGATTTCATTCAAGCTCAGCTACCAGCTAACAGGGAGAGTCCTTTCTGCTCTCAGGGCCTAGATTTCTTATCTGTCCAGGGAGCAGCTTGCATTCTAGGGGTCTTTTTGCTCCACCTTCCCTGGGAGCCTACTTCACTCTTTACTCCTGGCCATCCCTCCTTCTCATTGGGCCACACTGCAAGGCCAGCCCAGCTGTCCCTCACAAAGTGGCCAAAGGTTCACAGTACCCCCTTGTCGCTTCTAAATCCAAATACCAACCCCTGCTTTTGTTATCTCCGAAGGGAAAAGACCCTTAAATGAGCACGGAGGCCAGCAAGGAGGCAACAGAGAGCTCTGGGGGCTCCGATGGGGTTGGGGGCATGTCAGAGTCGAGCTAGATGGAGATTGGGGAGGTGTCAGGGTCAACAGATGCAGCTGGAAGGGATCCACTGAGGTGCTGCTCAATGTCAAGGCATAAAGTCAGAGAATCAAGCCAGCTGCAGAATTGGGGAGGAAGGGCTTTCCGTTCCACCGGCATCGGTGCATCCGGGAGCCATGCAAGGCTTTGCCTGGTGTCCTCCTGAGAAGGCAAATGGTCAATTCACCCAACTCTCTTGATGAAGAAAGGAAGTGCAGCAAGAGAATGGCTCCCCAGAAAAGTAGACTAAAAAGACCTCTTAAGAGAACTCTTCATTCGCTACTCTTTTTTTTGTTTTTTTTTTCGAGACGGAGTCTCACTCTGTCATCATGCTGGAGTGCAGTGGCATGATCTCGGCTCACTGCAACCTCCACCTCCCAGGTTCAAGCAGTTCCCTGCCTCAGCCTCCCGAGTAACTGGGATTACAGGCGCCCGCCATCACACCCAGCTAATTTTTGTATTTTTAGTAGAGACAGGGTTTCACCATCTTGGCCAGGCTGGTCTTGAACTCCTGACCTAGTGATCCACCCGCCTCGGCCCCCCAAAGTGCTGGGATTACAGGGGTGAGCCACCGCGCCTGGTGAGAACTCTTCATTCGATTCCCTGGACAGATAAGAACATGAGGCTCATAGAGGGGAGGAGACTTATGCCAGGTCCCCCAGTTAATTAGAGGTGTTTTTCATTTTAAATATGTGCCTCTGTGTTTACCACTGGTCACAGAATAGAGGATTTAGATCAAATAGGAGGTGGCCACCTACACTCATTGCACAGAAAGAGGGCTGGATGGATAGACAGCAAACCTTCCTTATGGCCCCCCCATCTGCAGGGACAGGGTGGCAGCAGGGACAACTTTAACAAGTGCATCTATATTATTTTAGTTTCTAGTAGCAAGCATGTGTCTGTGCAATACTTTTGTTTTCTATCTGTTTTGTTTTGTTTTGTTTTTTTGAGACAGTCTCGCTCTGTCGCCCAGGCTGGAGTGCAGTGGTGCCATCTTAGATCACTGCAACCTTCAACTCTTAGGTTCAAGTGATTCTCCTGCCTTAGCCTCCCGAGTAGCTGAGATTACAGGTGCCTGCCACCTCTCCTGGATAATTTTTGTATTTTTAGTAGAGGTGGGGTTTCACCATGTTGGCCCCGTTGGTCTCAAACTCCTGACCTCAAATGATCCACACACCTCGGCCTCCCAAAGTGCTGGGATTACAGGCATGAGCCACAGTGCCTGGCCTACACGATACTTTTAAATAGAAAGATTTAGAAAGAAAAGCTTCCTTTCTGCCTTGCTGTTTCACCCTTGTCTAAGTGGTCGAGGTGGTTCCTGTCTATATTCTTGATTAGATTTGGCACACAGAGTGTAGCAATAATTAAGTGGAGTGCAACGTTTCCAGCATCTTTTGTTAACCTGTGCCTGGTGGAGAAGTTTTGGAGGCCTGAGTTGAATGCCATTCCATGAACGAAATATTGAGCTCCTTCTGTATATCAGAGACAGCACATTTGTTCTGTGAAGGGCCAGATCTTAGGCATTTGAGGATTTGGGGGCCAGTCTTTGTCACAGCTATTCAAGTCTGCCATCCGTCATAGGGCAGAAGCAGCCAGAGACCACACATACACAAATGCGCTATGTTCCCATTAAACCTAACTTATAAAAATAGGCTGGCTGGGTGTGGTGGTTCATGCCTGTAATCCCAGCACTTTGGGAGACTGAGGTAGGCAGATCATTTGAGATCAGGAGTTCGAGACCAGCCTGGCCAACATGGCGAAACCTCATCTCTACTAAAAATACAAAAAAATTAGCTGGGCATGGTGGTGTGCACCTGTAATCCCAGCTACTCTAGAGGCTGAGGCAGGAGAATTGCTTGAACCCAAGGGGCAGAGGTTGCAGTGAGCTGAGATCATGCCACTGCCCTCCAGCCTGGGCAACAGAGCAAGACTCCATCTCAAAAAAAAAAAAAAAAAAGAAAAAGAAAAAAAGGAAAAAGAAAGAATAGGCCATGGGCCGGATTTGGCCCTTGGGCTTTTAGTTTTCTTAACCCTGCAAAATGCTATCACTGTCTATAGTTGACCCTTGAAGAATTCTGGGGTTAGGGGTGCCAACCTCCTTGCAGTCAAAAAATAGAGCACAACTTTTGACTCCCTGAAAACCTTAACTGATAATAGCCTGTGTTGACTGAAAGCTTACTGGTAACATAAACAGTTGATAAACACATATTTTATATGTTACTTCCATTATTTACTGTATTCTTATAATAAAGTAAGCTAGGCCAGGCACGGTGGCTCATGCCTGTAATCCCAGCACTTTGGGAGGCCGAGGCAGGTGGATCACCCGAGGTCATCAGTTCAAGACCAGCCTGGGCCACATGGTAAAACCCTGTCTCTACTGAAAATACAAAACTTAGCTGGGTGTGGTGGCGCATGCCTGTAATCCCAGCTACTCGGGAGGCTGAGGCAGGAGAATCGCTTAAGCTTGGGAGGTGGAGGCTGCAGTGAGCTGAGATTGTGCCATTGCACTCCAGCCTAGGCAACAGGGCGGGACTCTGTCAACAAAAAATTGTAAATAAATAAATAAATGTAAGTAAGCTAGAGAAAAGAAGTTAAGAAAATCATAAGGAGGAGAAAGTATATTTACTGTTCATTAAGTGGAAGTGGATCATCATAAAGGCCTTCATCCTTGTCTTTATGTTGAGTTGAGGAAAAGGAGGAGAAGAAGGAGGAGAGGTTGGTATTACTGCTGTCTCAGGGATGGCAGGAGGGAAGAAAATCTGTTTATAAATGGACCCGTGTGGTTCAAACCTGTGCTGTTCAAGGGTCACCTGTGCTAATATGTGCAACACTGCCTTGTCACACTGTGTCCCCACACCAGCCCTACAGGCTGAGTCTATTGTGAACCCTTTTTGTCAGTGAGGAAATCGAGGCTCAAGGAAGGGGAGTCCTTGGCCAGAAACACATGGCCAGCAGATGACAGAGCTGGTACTGGAACTCATGTTACAGAGCCTGTATCCCTTTCCATAAGCCTGTCCCTCTTGGGGAGGCAGAAGGGTCACTTTATCTCACATTGTCAAGCCCCAGAGGTGTTCTTCCACCTGCAGGCTCGCTCTCTCTCTCTCTCTCTCTCTCTCTCTCTCTCTCTCTCAAGTTGCAAGGGAGAAGAAGGCAGGGCATTATTGGGAAGCCAGGGGTGCTGATGCTGTCAGTGCTTAAGAGCCTGGGGTGGTGGAGGCAGACCACGTGGATCTGAATCCCAGGTGTCCCGTGCACAAGCTGTAGGACTTTGGGCAAGTTGCTTGACCTCTCTGTGCCTCAGTTTCTCCATCTGTAAAGGGGAGATGAGCATCATCACACTTAGCTTAGAGGGTTTCCAAGGGCCTAGTACACAGCTAAGAACTGTACCTGGTAGTGCTAATGTACATTGCATCCCTATTTGCTTTATGACTGCTCCACAGTTGTTCAAAAAAATCAGAACCTCAGCATCTTAGGCCAGGGGTTCCTGCACTTCTCCTGGTCATGCTGAGGTTATCTCCGGATGGCTTTGCAGTGTGAGTTTGCCGGAGTTTGTCCTGAGGCCTTTAGTGCACTGGCCAGGATAGCGCACCCTCCCAGGACCTGTGAGCTGGTTAATAAGATTGGCATTTAAAAGCCATTGCACACCCAGCCTCAGCGACGCTTTAATTTGCTACACCACAGACTCCCCCATTTGCAATAAATTTACTGTGAATAGACTAATTGCAAAATAACCCTAATTGGGTAGTTATCAATGAACAACTTCCCATGGAACAAAACGGCTTACAATTAATAGCATTTAAGCCATAAACTATTCTTCTGCAGAAAGCTAAGATGTAATTACACCCCATACGGGGATTGTGTTCCCTTTCTGGAAACCATGACACCCAGATTTCCCTCTGCTTAGGAGGGATTTGAGCTTCAGCCCAGTGGTCCTTTTATTTCTTTGCTAAATGAGGAGATGGAGACAGGGGTGGAGGGAAATTTAATATATGAGTAAATATTCATATACATATAAGCATACACACAGATGGATGCCCTGTGTTTCTCATTTTGCTTTACGCAACATCACCTAAACTTCAGCCAAGAGTGTGCTGGAAGTTGAATATAATTAAGGAAACAATTCCTCATGGCTGCAAGTCTGAAAAATTCAGGGGAAGAGAAATAGATTTTAAATGTTGACTTTGGTACAGCGCCCCCACTCCTCCTGTCCCTCACGCTCTCTGTCCCCTCACCCCACCACCACTCAGGGAAAATGTCGAGTCCAGAAGCCCAGGAGATGGTTTGCTTTCTGTGAGACATTCCTTGCTCTCGGGACTTTTCTCCTTTACTTTCCAGAGAAAAGGGATTTAGAAGGAAGCCCCAGCTCCATCCCTTTTCGGTGACAGCTGTTTTCACGAGGGGAAGAGGGATTCCTCTGGCTGTCCACTGGCAACCGTGCAGAGGGAGATGCAGTGAGGTGTGGGGAAGGGACTCTGCTGCATCACCCCCAGTGATGGCCTCCGAGAAATTTGTTTTGAGCCACACACCCTAGGGTCTCTGGTCATTCAACTGGAACCCCTAGTGTTTCAGGGCAATGAACCAGGTCAGATTGAAAGTCAAGGACAGCTTGGGCAATGGGGTTTAATTCCTGGCTCTGCCGTTACTCATGACATAACCCTAACCGCTCAGTGACTCAGTCTGCACAGTAAAATGGACACAAAAACTCATCTTCTGTCTTTATAGCGTGGTTGGCTGAAATGAGACAATGCATATAAAATGCTGAGTGCACTGGGGAAGTTAAGTGGATGTGCTTGGCTTGTTAGTATTACCACAATGACTTTTTTTTTTCTGCAATTACTTTTGCACCAACCTAATCGTCGCAATGGAGGAGTTGTCTAAATGAAGGGGCGACAAGAAGAGGAAAGGAGAGGAGAGGAAAAGGGTTTCTTTGATGGTGTCAGCCATTGTGCAGCCACGTCTTGCTGGGTCTGCTCTTCAGACACAGCCCCAGTAGCTTCCAGTCCTCCCCAGCCCCCTCCCTGTCCCCACAACTCCCACTCACCCCACTTTGGCTGTTACCTCTTGCCTCTGGAGATCCCACCCTGAATGCGCTTCCTCTGGGAAGCCTTCCAGGACCACCTCTTCCCCAGAAGCCCTGGTTGCAGGGAACACATGGATCCTGGGTGAAGGGTGCATCTCTGCCCCTTTCATTGTCAAAGCATCTTTTCCAATAAAGGCTGTTTCACCTGCGACCCATAGGAGGCAATCTGTGCCAGCTGCCAGGTGACACAGCTTTTTCTGCCTCATTACATTTTGAACACCTGCATGTCAGGAAGCGCCCTCCGTGCAGTGGCCCTCACGGCCACCAGCCTCTCTGTGTCTTGAGTTAAAATGTCCCAAGAAAGGCCCTGCTGGCTCCTTGCGTTGCTCCTGCATTTCTTCCCCTTTGCTGGGTCTGGTTAAGCCACCACATAGATGCTGTAAGTGACCTGTGGGTCTGCAGTCTAGACATCCAGGTGAAGAATTAGAAATGAAAAATGTGAGAAGTTCCAGGGAAGATGATTGGCTGGGAGCTGGGTGGGTTGGACTTGAGTGGGGAACCCCGGTCTGGGCATCTGAGTGAAGTCGGCAGTTCTCCAATGGGTGATGGGCAAAGGAAATTGCGCATGACTGGGGAAGCTGGCACAGGTGTTAGGGGTGAGGATGAACAGAAGGGGGTTCTTTGTGGCAGCAACAAACCGTCTTTACCCATCAGCCTTTGCAGGAATGGATTTTTGGATATGGGGATTCTGGGGGGAAGGCTGGCCGCTCGCTGCAGAGAGAGACTGGCAGATGATACTGCCAGCTGCTTAAGGGCAGTCTCTTCTACATCCCTCCTGCCCTGGGGGCAGTGGGGTAACTACACAGCGTGAGTAGCCGGCTTCTAGAAAGCGTAGCTGACAGCCGCAGTGGAGGGAAAATAGAACTGGGGATGTCACAAGTGGTCCCAGGTAAATACCTCAGTTTCCCCATTTGTCAGCCAGAGATACTACTTTCTCCCAGATCCTTTGCTGTATCACCAATGATGAGAAAATGAGGGAATAGCTGTGAAAAGTTAAAAGGTACCACGCTAATGAGGGTGATGTGATGAAGCCACATTGACCAGGAACAGCTTGGCTAAGTGGGTGGGGTTGACGGGCTTTCCCAAGGCGGCCCTTGCAGTTCCAACTGGGCCCTTTGGCATCTCCTTCTGAGGAGCCCAGGAAGGAAGAGGTATCCAGTAACAGTTCATTGGAGTTGGACAAAACTAGTCCCAAAGGTCTTCCTTGGGCTTGCTGGGGAAAGGCAAGAGACTGGCAAATCCAGAGAACATCAGAAGACCCATTCATTGGTCAGCCACCACATTCAAGGCTGTGCTCCAGGACAGGGCCTCACACACACAGTTTCTATAAAGGGCCAGATCATAAATATTTGGGACTTTGTAAAATGCATGGTCTCTGTCTCAGCTATTCAACTTTACCATTGTAGCGTGAAAGCTGCCATAAACAACACATCAACAAATGACCATTGTGGGCATGCTTCAGTTCAAGTCATTTATGGTCACCGAAATGTGAGTTTCACATAATTTTCACTTGTTGTGAAATGCTGTTCTACTTCTGATTTGTTTTCTACCCACTTAAGATGTCAACCCATTCTTAGCTCAAGGGCCATGCCAAAATAGATAGTTACAGGCTGTGGTTTGCCAATCCTTGTTCTAGGACCTGGAGTTAGAGCTGTGAACAAGAGCAGAGAACACCTTGTGCCACTTGAGTACCATGTCCATTGGTTCTGGAAATCAATTGGGCGTCTAGATGGCTGTACCCTCATGGAGCTTCTACCTGAATAGGAGAGACCAGAGGTGACAAGTGAATAGCCACATCTGCAATCTAATGTCTGGATATGACTCTATGATTTATTTGAAGACGTTGAGCAGGATGAGAGGACAGGTGAGGTGGGGAACCATTTAGATAGGTGCCTACAGGCTGTGTGTGGTGGCTCACGCCTGTGATCTCAGCACTTTGGGAGGCCAAGGTGGGTGCATTGCTTGATGCCAGGAGTTTGAGACCAGCCTGGCCACCATGGAGAAACACCATCTCTACTAAAACAAAACAAAACAAAAGTTAGCCAGGTGTGGTGGCACATGTCTGTAATCCCGGCTACTCAAGAGGCTGAGGCATGAGAATTGCTTCAACCCGGGAGGTCAAGGTTGCAGTGAGCTGAGATCACACCACTGCACTCCAACCTGGGTGGCACAGCAAGACTTTATCTCAAAACAAACAAACAAACAAACAAACAAACAAACAAAAAAACTACATAGGTGCCTAGAGAAGGAACAGAAATAGATTTGGTCTCATTGTGGAAGAACTTGCTAAGAATTAAGCTGCTTGCAAATGGAACAGTTCCTAGTCTTTGGATATGCTGAATTCCTTTATTCATTTAATATTTATTGAGAGGCTGCTTTGTGCCTGACATTGGTTTAGATGGTGGGGAAAGACTTGCCAGGGGCCTGATCGTACTCATCTTTGAATATCTCGTGCTTGGCACATCATAATCCTCAGTCTTGCCCTCACTGGGAAAGAAGATAACGTGGTTGCTTTTAGCCTCAGTGGCTCAACCTCCCTTCACACTGGGGTCTCTACAGAGGCCTGTGTGCACCAAGCAAAGCAATGGAAATGGGCATCTAGAATCTCTGTGGAGGTGGTATTCTGAGCATGGCATCCACCACCTGGGACCTGAAACTGTTTGTCACCAGCTCCCTTCAATATACCCTCATTCAACAATTAGTCATCGAGCATCCCCTGTCTATGCCAGGAACTAGTTTGGATGGATTCATTTGGGAGGAAAGCAGATAGAATCCCCGTCCTCAGGGAGCTTGTGGCCTGTTAAAGTTGGGTAGGGAAACACAGGGGTAAACGATCATTAAAATGTGCACGTAGGCCAGGTGCGGTGGCTCATGCCTGTAATAACAGCACTTTGGGAGGCAGGTGGATCGCTTGAGGTCAGGAGTTTGATACCAGCCTAGCCAACATAGTGAAACCCCATCTCTCCTAAAAATACAAAAATTACCTGGGTGCCAGCTACTCAGGAGGCTAAGGCATGAGAATTGCTTTAGCCCGGGAGGAGGAGGTTGCAGTGAGCTGAGATTGCACCATTGCACTCCAGCCTGGATGACAGAGCGAGACTCCATCTCAAAAAAAAAAAAAAAAAAAATTCACATGTAAAATTGCAACAGCAATTCTGGGGAGTTGCATAGTTGTGTTTTATAGTTGAGCTAAGAGATGAAGGGTGGTGAAAGTTAACTAGAGGAAAAGCTGGAGGGGGACATTCCAGGTCAAGGGAGTATCGTGTGCAAAGGCCCTCGGGTAGGCAGAGGTGTTGATAGTTTAAAACACTCACAAGACCAACAGGGGAGCTCTTCCTATAAGCAAAAAGGTTAATCTGCTCGTAGGCCAAGTTGTAATTCCTAAAAGTGCTAGGTTTAGAGGATCTGTGTCTTTGCTTTGAGCAAGGAGAATGGAGGTAGAGGCATCTCTCAGTACTGAACTGAAATTGCCAGAGACCTGAGGGGAAGGTAGGCCCCCCTGTATTAGTCTGTTCTCATGCTGCTGATAAAGACTTACTTGAGACTGGGTAATTTATAAAGAAAAATAGGTTTAATGGACTCACAGTTCCATGTGGCCGAGGAGGCCTCAAAATCATGGCGGAAGGCAAAAGACATCTTATAGTGTGGCAGGCAAGAGAAAGAGCTTGTGCAGGGAGATTCCTCTTTATAAAACCATCTGATCTCATGAGACTTATTCACTATCACGAGAACAGCAAGGGAAAAACTCACCCCCATGATTCAGTTACCTCCCACCAGGTTCCTCCCATGACACATGGGAATTATGGGAGCTACAATTTAAGATTTGGGTGGGGACACAGCCAAACTATATCAGCCCCAAAGGTAAGGGTCTGGCAGGCTGGGACTGGGGGGCAGGTCTCACATCCTCTCTCTACAGAATCATGCTTCTTCCACTTTTGAGCCCTGAACAAGAGGTCATCTTGGATCAGGAAAGCAACCCCTGCCCCCAAGTTCTTAGCCCTGGATTTAGGGTACACATCTTTGGGAGGTCTTTCCTCCTCTTACAGTGCTGTTTCTCATGACATCCAAGCCATGGAAGGAAATCCTCAGTGCCTCCAGCAATGTCATAGACTCAGTGTCCTGGGCTGTTTCACTATCATTGACCTGACCCTGGATTAGGAGAAGCCTTTGAACCAAACTCAAAAGACTTGCGGCCCCTCTGCCACTTTATCGGCTGCGAAAGCCTTGAACAAGGCACTTGTGTTCTCTGAGCCTCACGTCTTTCCTATAAAACAGATTGCACAAGGGCCTCCCCTGCCTCCTCAGGTTGCTGAATAAAATACCGTATTTGAGTGTACTTTCATTAATCCATCGGTCTAGCCAGCAAATATTTACCAAGCACCTGTTACAAGTCAGCCATAGGCCACCTCTCGATTGGCAGCTCTTGTGGTTCTGGAAGCCTGCAGGTGGGCATGGGAGACTCGCTTCCATGGCAGGGTGGTTTGTGATGATTTTCTTGGCGTTCCATGAGTTCTTGCCCAGTAGCTGCCCCAGAACAAGGCAGAGAATGGAGATTCGAAGAGCACATAGAATTCTTGCTCCATGAGAGGCTTGCTCCCTTGGGCACAACTGATTGTGTGTCTGCCACCCAGGGTCCCCAAGACAGAGACTTAGTGCAAGAAGGAAGGAGCCCAGACATGGCCCTTGAATGAATGAATGAGTGAATGAGTGAATGAATAAATGAATGAATGAATGAAATAAGCCCTAGAGTGAAAAGACTAGCTATCTCTCCTTTCTGCATAAGTCAACAAAACTAGCTGGCCTTTTCTCCTCTCTCAAATTACTTGGCAGTCCAGGGCTAGGAATTCATATCAATGCCACTTCCTCCTGGAAGCCTTCTGTGATGCTGTCTCCCCACACTGCACCTCTCCAAGTCTGTGTGAGGTGCTCAAGCTGTGTGCCCCCAAACCACCTTGCCTGTTCCCTGCTGGGGTACATGTCACAGGATAGCGTGGTTGCTGGAGTGCTCTGTAGCCCACACTGAGCCACAAGGGCTGAGTACCCTTAATTCTGTTGGGGACCCTTAGGTGAGACTGGCTGCTATAGCATATCCTGAGTCTCCACCACTGGATCTCCAGCCCCTGCCTGCACGGGGCTAGGACACGAGAACCCACATTTCTTAGGCACTTCCTGAATGCCAGGTGTGGAGGCGAGCACTTTGCATGTGTGATCTCATCGCGACTCCTGCACAGCCCTGGAGAAGGGATGTTCTCTAGTTCCATTGAACAGACGAAGAAACTGATCCTCAGAGAGGTTAAGTAGCTTGCCCAGGGTCACATTTGCAAGTGACAGACCTTAGACTCAAACCCACTTCTGCCTAACTTCAAAACCCACACCTTAACTTGTCTGCTCTGTGGTACCCTTAGTAAATGTGGAACCAGATGTGTTAAATGACTGATCTAGCTTCTCCAGAGATAAAGGAAAATGCACTGCATGTTAATCAACACCTTTCTCTAGCTATTGATACTTGTTACTCTCCATCTCTGCAGCCAGAAAGAACAGGGAGCTAAGGTCTCTATACAAGAAACTGCTCTTAAATAATAACACTTAACCTCTACGTAGGGATTGTTAAATGCCAAGGGCTATCCTAAGAAGGTTTAGCCACATTAACTCATTTATTCCTCATAACAACTTTGTATTCAAAGAAGTTGAGACACAGAAAACTTACCCAGAATTACACATTTCACCAGTAGCAGAGCCAGGCTCTGAGCTCAGAGACTTTGGTTCCAGTGGCGTGGCAAGGGGCTTAACCACTGCACTTTGGTGTCTATAGGAGCAGCTGCATTCAGGCTGAAGCAAGCCCTTTGCAGCTTACATTTGCTCCTTGTGCTCAATCTGTCTGTTGCAATGAGACCCACCCACACAGTCAGATAATTCACCTGCTTTTGGAGGCGGGGGCGCCAATCCCATCCAAGACGCTAAGGACTTGTGTTTGAAGTCAGTTCATTGCCTGGGGTGAGAAATAGCCAGCCGCGGTTACCTCCCATTTCTCTGCCAGTTTCTAGTTGCTGTGGTATATTTGTGTTAGTGTAAAAATGACAAAGCAATAATTTTTCATTGTATCCTTCAGTCACCCATGAGAGATTGGATTTAGGTCACAATTTATTACCCCGTGGAATTGAATTCAATTTTTAACACCATGTCAGTCATTCTGGTGTTAGAGCCTTTTAATGGCTGTGAAATTTATACAATGATAAAGTAATTTAAAACATATGTAGGAAGAACATCAGACAAATTGATGTGTATAGAACCCTCTGGTAAAAATTGAACAGGAGATAAACACGGAAAATGGTGATTGATTAAGAGACGATTGAAATAGTGCTTGCTTTGATAAACTCTTAATGGCGAAATTAGTAAACTAATTTATTCTTCGCAATTTTGAGGAGGGTTTATGTTGCCCTAAATCAGAATCGAGCTGAGCCACAAAGCGCAAATTAATAGCTCACCTCCAAGTGTGGCATGGATAGAGTGAGAAACCTTTCAGAGGAACTGGGAGGCTGCCAAGAGCCAGTCCCCGGTGATATTTGCAGCGACCAAAGTGAAAAGATGGTGAGAAGGCAGGGAAAGGAGAATTCTCCTCACGATTTTTAAGAACTTGCCCAAATAATGCAGAAAGGATGCTTGTTAAAATCTAATTCCTCAAGTCAAGGCTGTATACATTCTCATTATTTTAAAATACTGAAACATTGCAGATAAGGGGAAAATCCACCCTGATCCGTCAGTCCCATCTGAGCAGTGGCACTTGTGTGTACATTTTTGTTTTTCTTTAGATATCTAAACTCAACACATGTCAAAAAAAAGAGTGTGGTTTTGTGACAAGAGATTCATAAATCATATGAAACTGATGTATAAATCTGAAACTTGTAAAAAATATATTAATAGTATCTGGCTGTGGGATGAAAGAATTCACAAGTTAGATGATTTTTTTGTTGTTGTTGCACATGTCCAGGTCTGAGGTCTGTTTCCTTGCCTGGAGCTAGAGACCTAAGTTATTTCTTTATAGTAGCTGACCATATAACTCTGGGTATGGATACACCACAGTGTAATTGGTCATTCCCCTATTGAGGGACATTTAGGTTGTTGCCAGTTTTTTACTATACTAAGTGACTGTTTTCTCAGATCTCTCAAAGATGTACATAACTAGTACCATTCTGGATACATCAGAGAAAAGCTAATTTGCTACCTACAACGGATGCCCCAGGACATTCGAGCTTAATTCTCTTGGGGATCCTGAGTTGAGACTGGCTGCTACAGAGCATCTGAAGAATAGAATTGGCAGGTCAAACAGCTTGCCCATTTTAAATTGTGATAGACAGCATCAAACTGCCCTGTGAAAAGCCTGTATTGGTTATAACAGTATATCCTGTATTGGTCACCAACAGGACCTTGACAGCCTCTAAAACATCCTCATCTTCCATCCTGCATTCTGCCTGGGATCCCTCTTCAGGTTTCACGTTAGTAACATCTCTCGTGCCTAGTCCTCCGAGATCCCAGCAATTTTCTTGCGTGGTCAAGGACAGTGCTTGCCGGCCACACTTGGGCTTGTGTTGGCAACAGACCCCCCAAGGCCCCACCCCCAGGGATTCTGACCCAGGTCGAGGACAGAACCTGAGAAATCACACTTCTGCCAGAGGCTGCTGCCCTCCAGAACTACACTTTGAGAAGCCCGGACCTGGGAGAACATCCTGTTCCCCCTAGTTCTGCCCTTTCCCTGATTCAGTGGTTTGCAACCAATGCTACTGAGCCCCTCGGGACGTCTGGACATGCCTAGAGACATTTGGTTGTCTCGACTGGGAAAGGGGGTACTACTGGCATCTAAAGCGTAGACACGAAGGATACTGCTCAGCATCCTGCAATGCACAGGACATCCCCACAATGATTTTCCAGTCCAAAATGTCCATGGTGCCGTGGCCAAGCATGGTGGGAGACCTGGGCATCTGCTTCTCTCCATGGGGCAAGTTCACATTTGGTATGGACACATTGGCATCCACAGTCTCACTCCTGGGTGTGAAAAGCCTCCCCCTCACCCCTCTGACTTTCTCAGCCCTTGATGACCCTTTGCGTCCTGAAGACCCCTCTCCCCAGCCTGAAGAGTCCATAATGAGACACCTCACATTGATTGCTGACCGTTGCCGCTCCTTGTGCTAAGCACATAGAACTGTGCTTAGCAGTGAAAGCTTGAGTCGGTCGGCTTGGGTTTGAATTTTAGCTGTGCCCCTCCCTCACTCGGGACCTTGTGCAAGGGACTTCACTGCTCTGTTGCTTGATCTTTAATCTATAGAATGGGGATGATGATTGGTATCTGGTTTGCCCAGGACAATCCCGATCTGTGCCTGTCATCCTGGTATAGTTAGTAATGGAGCCCCTTTTTCCTCTCAAGAGTTCTCCAGTCTCACTCTAACCTGATGAGGATTCTCCTATAGAGTGAGACTGGATGATTTGTTTCAGATAATTCGTTTGACCTTTAGGGAGCCATGCATGGGTTTTGAGCAAGACAGTGCTGTGATCTCATTTAGACTTTAACAAAGGGATTGGCAGGCTTTTCATAAACTGACCATAATAAGTTATCTGGTCACCCTAATGATGATAGTCTTAATAGTTCTCACCTTGTAGGGCTGTTGTGAGGATAGAATGAGAGGATCTGTGTGAATTATTAAAGCAGAGGCTGTCTCTAGAAAGTGCTCAATAAAAGTTAGCTCTTCTGGGTGTGTACCTAGAAGAATTGAAGGCAGAGTCTTAAAGAGACATTTGTACACCTTTGTTTATAGGAGCATTATTCAGAGTAGTCAAAAGGTGGAGGCAACACAGGTGTCCATGAACAGATGAAAGGATAAACAAAATGTGGTCTACACATACAGTGGAATACTAGCCAGCCTTAAAAAGGGAGAAGACCCTATCGCATGCTGCAACATGGATGCACCTGGGGGACTTCACGCTAAGTGAAATAAGCCAGTCACCATAGATCAGATACTGTGTGATTCCCCCTTACACAAGGTATCTAGAGTAATTAAATTCCTAGAGACAGGAGTAGGATGGTGAGACCTAGGGGCTTGAGGGAGAGAGAAACAGGGATTTGTTTTTTAATGGCCGTAGAATTTCAATTCTGCAAAATGAAAAAGTTGTGGAGATTGGTTGCACAACAATATGAATATACTTAACACTATTGTGCACTTAAAATGATTAAGACGGTAAATTTTATGTTGTGTGTTTTACCATTTTTTAAAAATAGCTCTTCTGAAACATGCATTGCCTCATTTAAATCTTGCTCTAAATTGGTGAAGTAGGCTTCTTCATTCTCCCATTTCACAGATGACAATTCTCCTGCAGAGTGAGGCTAGATGATTTGTTCCAGATAAGTCATTTGACCTTTACTCTAGGGTCGTAGGGAGCCCTGGATGGGTCTTGAGCAAGACGGTAGCACAATCTGATTTACACTTTAACATAGGGATTGACAAACTTTCTGTAAAAGGCTAGATAATAAATAGTTCAGGTTTTGCAGAGTAGAAGGTCTCTGTCCTAACTACTCAACTCAATGTGTAGATAGTGCATAAATGAATAGGCATGTCTGTGCTCTGATAAAATGTTGTTTACAAAATGGATGGCTGGGTTTGGCCCAAGACCATAATTCGCCAACCCCTGCTCATATGGTTTGGCTGTGTCCCCACCCAAATCTCATCTTGAATTGTACTCCCACAATTCCCATGTGTCATGGGAGGGACCTAGTGGGAGGTAATTGAATCACGGGGGTGGGTCTTTCTTTTGCTGTTCTTATGATGGTGAATAAGTCCCAGGAGATCTGATGGTTTTATAAAGAGGAGTTCCCCAGCTGAAGTTATCTCTTGCCTGCGGCCATGTAGGACGTGCCTTTCACCTTCTACCATACTTGTGAGGTCTTCCCCGCCACATGGAACTGTGAGTCCATTAAACCTCTTTTTCTTTGTAAATTACCCAGTCTCGGGTATGACTCTATCAACAGTGTGAAAGACTAATACTCCTGCTTTGGAGAGCTCCCTGGCTGCTATCACCTTCCAACTCCAGCATGTGGAGAAGACAGTTCCAGAAGATAGGCTAGTTAACTGCCTCTTCCCCACACTGTATCCCCTAAAAGTCAACCGTTTCATAACCTGGGAGTAAGAGACTCGTAAGGAAGCAGCAAGTTCCCAGGGGTGCCCCATCAGTTCCAACGTCAATGCTGCCTCTTGTCCTCCCTCTCCTCATTGTTGCATTGATTGTGCAACCCATCTCCAGAACTTTTTCGTTTTGCAAAACTGAAATTTTATGGCCATTAAAAACCAAATCTCCATGCACTCACGCACTCACACTGAAAGCTCCCAAGAAGGAGGGCCCTGGCAAGGTGACCTGGAGGCCCAGCGAAGCCACGGCAGTGGGCCAGGCATGAAGAAACTGTAGTCTCTACTCCTGATGCTGGCTTGACAGCGCTGTTTGTTTCAAGACTTTATTAGCATTGCAGTGAGGGACCTGGAGAATTTAGAGGTGCTGTTGCCATTGCTTTCTCAGCCTAAACCTCAAAGAGCAATTAACCTGGTTATCCAGGCCTCCCTCTCTCCCCTTGTTTATTGCCGTGAACACAGGAACTGCACCATTAGGTGCATGAAACGCTATCAAGGAATTTAACTGTAATTTAAAAGGCTCTATGGGGAGGACCCCAGTGGCTGATTAATAATGCATTTGTAGAGCAATAAAGACTGCAGCAGATCAGCGGAGCTCAGCCTCCAGACTTTACTTATGCGTCTGGAATCCTATGAGGTTTCTCTCCGGGGTGGCAGAGGGGTGTCTACGCCGGAGTTCTCTGGCTCCAAAAACATGGAATAGGATCCTGTGAAATGTGGAATACTGGAAATGGTCCTGTCCAGATGGTCAAGGACATGGGCTTCTAATCATTGGGGTTCTAGAGTTGAATCCTGGGTCTACCAACAGCTATGGAACATTGAGCACATCACCTAAACCTCTGTGTGCCTCATTTTTCCCCGTCTCTAAAATGGGGCTAATGATAGTATCTATCCAACAGGTTCTCCTAAATGGAATGATGTGTAATACATAATAAAGTACCTGGTGCTTGTAGAGTAGGTGCTTGTTCAGTGCTAATTATCTTATTACTATCCTCATCATTAAAGAAAGCATTATTTCCTTCTGGAAAGCTCAGGCCACTGAGGCTGGTTCAGGCTTGGTCCCGAAGAGCTTGAAAAAGGTTAGTTCTCATTCTCACATTTCAACCAGCAGCAAGACCTTCCAATTCTACATCCTGAATATCACTGCTGGGTCCATTTCTCTCTCTGTCTCTTCTGCAACATCCCTGTCATGTAGATTGTGGCAATACATTCCTAACTTACCTGCTCACATCTGCGTCTCATACCCGCTCCCTGCCTCTCCCAAGTGAATCTTCATTCTGCATCTAGAGTGTGCTTCTTAAGATGTACTTGGAACTGTGTGGCTCGTCTGCTGAAGACTTGCCAAGGACTTTCCCCATTGCAAGTCAGTGAGACCTTCAGGACTCACTGCAGTCTGGCCTACCTCCTTCTTCAACCTTATCTCCCTTTATTCTCACCCATTCTCCCTGTTCCTGCATCCCCTAGAGAAAGCAGACTGTAGCTGAAGGCTTCCCCACATGCTAGTCTTCCTGTCCATACCCCTGTTCTCATGCCTCTCCCAGCAATTCATGCAGTTCCTTGGATCTGAGTTTAAACCCAGTTATGCTTTCTCAGGCAAAACTTTTCTTTTATAGCATTTATTCCAGTTTATTAATATGCATGTATTTGTGTAGTTTGTTTAGCATCCCTTTTCCAAATTAAACTAAAAGATCCAGGAGGGCAGGTTCTAAATATTTTTTTTCACTACTTACACCACCTGGTACTAAGTAGATACACTGGATGGATAAATGGAGGGATGAATGAGAAGATGGGTGGATATATGGAAAGATGGGTTGAGTGGATGAAAACATGGATGGGATGAGTCAATTAATGGATGGATAAAAAGATAAGTGAATTGGACAGACAGATGAAAGGATGGATGAATGGACTGGCTGAGCGAGTGGGTGGTTGGTGGATGGATGGATGGACAGGCTGGGTGGGTGGATGGATGGAAGGACAGACAGACTCGGTGGGTGGATGGATGGATGGGTGGATGGATGAATGGATGAATGGACTAGGAACATGGATGGATGGGCTGGGCGGATGAGTGGATGGATGAATGGGATGCATGGATGGATGGATGGATGGATGGACGGACTAGGTGAGTGGATGGATGGATGGACTGGGTGGATGAGTGGATGGATGAATGGGATGGATGGATGGATGGATGGATGGATGGATGAATAGATGGACTGGGTGGGTGGATGGATGGATGATGGATGGATGGATGGATGAATGGACTGGATGAGTAGATGGATGGATGGATCATGGATGGATGGACTGGGTGGGTGAGTGGATGGATGAATGGGATGAATGGATGGATAGATGGACTGGGTGAGTGGATGGATGGATGATGGATGGATGGATGGATGAATGGACTGGATGAGTGGATGGATGGATGGATCATGGATGGATGGACTGGGTGGGTGAGTGGATGGATGAATGAGATGAATGGATGGATGGATGAATGGATGGATGGATGGATGAATTACAGGGGTCCAAGTCTGCAAGTGAAGAGTCCAGTAAGCATGCCTTTGGGGTAGTCTAGGCAAGAAATGACAATAGGTTCAATTAAGAAAGAGGAAAAGTTGGATTTGAAAACAATTCAGGAGGCAAATTTGGCAGAATTTGGCAGTCTGTTGGCTGTAGAGATGAGGCTGGGGAGGAATCGAAGAAGACACCTGGATTGTTCATTAGAGGACCTGATTGGTGTTGCTATCACTGACTGAAATGGAGAAATTACTGCATCTAGAAAATGAGCAGATGACTGCCCTACCTCATATCATGAGATATCTCACCCCATTGTGAGATCACGTAAACTCCTCGACTTATTTGGAAAAGTTGATAGAAGTGGGAGAAACTGAAAAGGATGGAGTCCAGCTCCACTGGTGCCGTTGAAACTGAAAGAACAGCTTTGCAAAAGTCCTAAAGTTGCCACACACTTGGCATGACTAAGAGCCAGAAGGCGGAAGGGATAGCTGAAGTTTAATTAGCAATAAGAAGCATAGATGCTGAAGACAAAGAGGAGGGCAGGGATCTGGTCATGCAGGACCTTGTAGGCCATGAAAGGGAATTTAGAGTTTTCCCTTATTGGGGTCCGACAGCATCACAAAACCTGATTTCTCTAAGACAGGGGTCCTGGGTCCAAAGACAGCTGCCAGTCTGCTTTTGTAAAAACACTACCACGCCCATTCATTTATGCATCATCTGTGGCTACTTTCCAACCTCAAGGGCAGAGCTGAGTGGTTGCAACAGAAACTGTGCAGCTCCAAAAGCCTAAACTATTAGGTTGGTGCAAAAGTAGTTGCACTTTTGGCCATCACTTTCAATAGCAAAAACCGTAATTACTTTTGCACCAACCTAATATTTACAGTCTAACTCTTTACAGAAGAAGTCTGCTGACTCCTGTTCTAAGACAAAAGCTGAAAATTCCGGCCTGCTATTTCCTGTGTGTATTTGAACATTTTACAGATTTGCCATTGTCTTCAAAAAGGATTAATGGGAATAAATTACAGATTTAACAAGGAATAACTGCAACTTGTTTCTCCAGGGTTTCAGTTGACTTTTAGGGATGGGGTGGATGAATGGAAAGGCCAGGGGAAAAAGTGCTCTGACTTCAGCTCATGATAAAAATCCCCCAGCCTGTGTGCCAGGTACCACTGCCCTCACCGAAAGGATGCTAAGTGAAGGTGGAATGGCCTGACATGTACCAGATGCTCTACAAATGTTTGCTGAACTGCTAATGCATGAACAATGACCTTCAGAGGGATTTGGAGCCAGCCTTACGCCTGGACCATTTTAATACTGACTTGGAAATAAGGACAGACACTTACCAGCCTGCTACTGACTTTTACCTGGGCTCTCAGCTAACTTGCTTGGAATGGACTGAACCCCCAGTGTCACCCAAGTGACCCGAGAGGAACCCCTGCATTTTGCCAGCAGATGGCATCCAGCAACAACATCCCATGGTCTCCCAGGAAGCAGAACTAGGCCCAGATGAATATTGGAGCATCCTGTAGAAACGCTGGTAAGAAATGCTGATGAATCCGTCTCCGGATTCTAATTACACCGCTGCGTCTCTCAGGAAGGAAGAGACCTTTTGCCACAGGCACACTTCACTAATCTGAAACCCAACACAGACTCAGTTTAATTACATGTGCACTTCCTGGAGTCATGAGAAAGGTTCTGAAAAACCAGTTCACTGCCTGTCAGGACGAAGGGCATTGATCTTAAACCTCCAACCAGTATCTTCAACCAAGACACATTGCTGAGTGTGGGAAGGCAGAGGAGAGGGCAGGAGTCACCCCAAGGGAGGCCAACTTGTGGGGTGAGAAAAGTCCATTTGGAAAAAAAAATTAATAGTTTCTCTAATGTATTTTGGAACTTCTTCCTGGAATGAGAATGGGGAAAAAATACTGAAAAACACAGATCTCCTTCTGGAGCCCTTCAAATAATAATAATGTAATAATTGGGATTGTAAGTTGAATACCAGTATTTCTACTTTATGGACATTAAAGTTTGAGAAGCACCAAACTTCGTATATTACACATCCTTAGAATCTTTCATC
Source organism: Homo sapiens (assembly GCF_000001405.40). NCBI lineage: Eukaryota > Metazoa > Chordata > Mammalia > Primates > Hominidae > Homo > Homo sapiens. The sequence goes on along the minus strand of NW_019805500.1, from coordinate 238,380 downwards.
TTTTAAATCCCCAAACAAGACTCACCTGAACATTGTTCTTTACGTTACTTTCTGCGTTGAACAGCCACCTAAATGCCAATTATACCTAAATCAAGCCTCTCTTCAGAATTTCAGAATCCTATACTCAATTGCTAAGTAGATATTATGGATTACATTGTATCCCCCAAAATAGGTTGAATTCCTAAGCCCCAGGACTTGTGAATGTGGCCTTATTTGGAAATAGGGTCTTTGCAAATTATCAAGTTAAAGTGAGGTCATTAGAGCGTGCCCTAATCCAACATGACTGTGTCCGTATAAAAAGAGGACGTTCAGACCCACAGATAGACATGCACACTAGAAGAATGCCAAGGGAACATGGACGTAAAGACAGGTGATGCATCTCAAGGCCAAGGAACATGAATTACCGGCAATTCCCTAGGAGCCAGAAGAAAGGCATGGAATAGATTCTTCCTTCTCAGCCCTCAGAAGAAACGAACCCTGCCAACGCCTGGATCTTGGACCTCCAGCCTCCGGCACTATGAGACAGTAAGTTTCTGCTGTTTAAGCCCCCCAGCTGTGTGACTTTGTTAGGGCAGCCCCGGGAAACTACAATGGGCATCACCAGTCCGATGTCCCACTGAGGTCACAGTCCCACATCAGTTTTTCCACACTGTCCCCTCAACCAAGTCCAGCCTTTTTTTTTTTTTTGTACTCTCCATTTCAGTTGTGATACTGACACTCCTTAGTCCCTCTAACAAAAAGTCCATGTGTCTTTGATTCCTGATAGCCATTTAGACTCGTAAAGGAAGAAGAGGTGGTAAGACCCTACACATGCTCACTTTCACTCTTAGCATGGAGACTAAAGCCAGCAAGATGCCAGGCCCAGGCTAGATGCTTGAATTTTCTGAATTAGTTGCTAATAATTAAAAATCAGATGCTTGTATTTAAATTTCAAGATCTCCAGCTTCCCTCAAGATAAATGGAAAGATCTAGCAACCTTAAGCCTTCAGGGCCACACATGGCCATGCTGATCTGTTGATGAAAAAGGCATCTCCAGACCAGCCTGACCAATATGGTGAAACCCCGTCTCTACTAAAAATACAAAAATTAGCTGGGTGTGGTGGCGCACTCCTGTAGTCCCAGCTACTCGGGAGGCTGAGGCAGGAGAATTGCTTGAACCCGGGAGATAGAAGTTGCAATGAGCAGCAGTTGGGCCACTGCACCCCAGCCTGAGCTACAGAGCAAGACTCTGTCTCAATAATAATAATAATAACAATGATTAAGTAATAGAGAGTGATGTATGTGATTAAAAGGCTAGGGATGGTTGCCCTTAGAACCTGGGTTTGGACTAAAGCTGTTACTTGGAGGACACTCAAGGTGCAAATTTACCAACACGTCAGATTTTCTGTAAACAGATGCAGGCACTAGGCAAACGTTTTTTAAGCCAGAAAGCTATATCAAGAGAGACACAGTCCTTAAAGGAACTGCAAAGAAAGCATTTGTCATAATTCCCCACTCAGTATCCTGAATGCATAATTTCTACCGTGACTCAGCGCGTCTTTGGGGACTGAGAAACAAACAGTCCCTTTCGTGCATACAAGAAATACTGAGAGGCATTGAGACGGGGCCCTTCGAGTTTGGAGTCTGCCACTGCCTCTTTCCAGCTGTGTGACCTTTGGCCAGGTTAGCTGACCTCTCTGAACCCCATTTGTAAATGGGGATACTGGTACGTCCTTTTGCAGGATGGGTGGGAGGACTGGAGAGAAGAGCTCACCCAGCACCATGCTCAGCACATTCAGCACATAGTAGGTCTCCAAAAAAAAAAAAAAAAGATGATAATGATGATGATTTGGCTGTTAGTGGTTCCAGGCCACTTTCAACACGTCTCAACTTGTGTATGACTTGAACAGCTTTGTCTGACTTGTGTGAGATAAGGGAGCTTTTCCCTCTGAAATCTAGAACTACATTTAATCAGGCATCAGTAACCTCCATTCCCAAACTGAACTGGAACAAGCTACTTTTCACACTAAAACAAAGCGAGGAATAAAATAGAGCAAGATGACTCTACTTTTTTTTTTTTCAGGAAGTTTTCCCATTTTCTCATAATGAGAGATGATTAAAATAACCAGGAGACAGATGACACCAAATTAATAAAAATGTAGATCAAATGATCCTCCATTACCTATTTTGCTCAGTTGCAGTTGAAGAATGCATTGATTAAACTGCCGCAGACCATTATGGTCGTATTCATTACTATAGCATAATCTGTTTTATTATGATAGGATAATAACTAACACAGTCTTGCAGACAGACATTTCTCTGTGGGCTAAGTAATCATTTACTGTGGATGTGCACCAAGGAATGCTGGGTTCACTTTGCTCAGGGTAGACTTGAACCTTAGGGTTGCAGAGAAGATGGTTTATTTATTTATTTATTTATTTATTTTATCACATGGCTCAGTTTGCTGGATTCCCACATGGGGAGGGTTCTTCGAGTGCTGCTGTGAAATGTATAATGATCCCAGAGAGATTTTAGAAATGCCAAAAAAAAAAAAAGAGTAGTCAATGAGCTGTTAGTTTTTTGTTGTTGTTTTTATCTACTCTCTACCCACTAGCTGATTTGATTGATTTCTTATGTGCTTATTTACCCATTATTTATTTATTAGGTATTTATTCATTATTCATTAGGCAAACGGGTGATAGCTGTGCAGAACTTAGTATCTCAAGACTTAGCGTTGATCAGAGCCTCATCGGAAAGGCAAAGATGTAACTGAACAGTTAAGCGGGGATAAAGGTAGGCCCAGAGATTTGCAAGAGCTGAAATGGAGGGATGATTTTGCCACTTGGGAGTGAAACATCTAGAGTTGGAAGTGGTGATGACTTGGGTGCAGAAGGCAGGCTTTCTGCAATTGAATCCAGGCTCTGTCACTCACAAGCTAGGCATTCTTGGGCAAATCACTTCATCCCTCCAGTCTAAGGTTTTTCCTCTGCAAAATGGGCGTGGCAGCAGTACCCGCCTCACTGTTGACACAGGTACCAGTTATGAGAATCACTCCATAAGTGTGTCTTAGGTCCGGTCTTCTTGAATCCTTCAGTATGGAGGAGCCATGTCATTAGCATCCTTTGCTTGGCCCATGAGGAAACTAGGACTTAGGGAGAGCAAGTAACCTTGCCTGAAATCACCCAGCTACGCAAAATCAGAGCCAAGATGTGAAGCCAAGTCTGCCGCACCCCCAAGCACGTGCGCTTAACCAGGATGAAGTTGGCATTTCATACACTGGTGGTATTTATAGCAAGCGTCACAAAATACCCCAAGGGGCCAGGCAGGATGTCAATGCCTGGAGTAGGCAGGTAGAAGCTGCCACTCACTTAGCTCCACGATAGTGTAAAGCCCCAGGCTCCCTTGCCTTGAGAACTGCAGGCCCAGGCTTGCTTGCTCACTCTTCCAATTATTATTCTTTTTGTAAGAAATCTGAGTTTTAATCTGAAATCTCTTGATTTAACTGACAACTATTTTAATTTAAAACAAAGCAGCACAACAGAGTGTGAGCCCAAGAAAAGCTGTCTGCAGGCTGGGCAGGCCCAGGAGCTGGCAGCCTGCAATCTCTGCTTTGAAGCAGGGCGCGTCTGCAGGCCGCTTAGTATGCGCAGAGCCCTGCACCACACCTTCCTACTTAAATTTCTGCTCTGAGGACTCTTGCTCGCTTCCGCAGTCAGAAGTCTCCATCACTAGCTTGCAGCGGGAAACCAGGCTGCTTCCTTTCCAGGCCCTCCTTTTGCTTTGCTCAGCACTGGCATCCATCACTCACTGTTTTCAAGCAGGATGGGCAGTGCCTGGCCTGCAATGAAACTTGTCTTCTGGTGCCACCTCCCATTTTCTGAGTGTTTTGAGGCTGGGCATGAGTTTGCCTTGAGGTCTCCTTGAAGCCGGCAGGGGATGCAAAATTCTCATCGAGTTGCTTTCTGTTGTCATTTTTCCTGTGGAGTTGGGGAGAGGCTTGTTGGAAGGTTCTGGTGCCCCATAATCCACCCTATTTGATGTCAACATGCATTTATTAAACGGCCCCTCTTTGTATGTGGCAGGTGAAGGGAAGGTGCCCCCTGAAGAGCAGAGGAGACAAGTCCTGATAGTGTATGTCAGAGAGTGATATGGTGGAGGCATTAAAAAAATATGACACAAAAGAGGAAGAATTATGCCCAAAGGGGGCAATCAGTGAAAACGTCGTAGTCTTTGAGATAAATAAGTAGGCGAGTATATAATTTCACCAGGTCAAGAAGGACAGTCCAAATAGAGAGTACAATACCACCATCACCACCGCTGCCAACATTATCACCAACACCATGACGAAGGCCGCCACCTCATATCATCACCATCTTCATCACTACCACCATTGCCAACACCACTATCACCTCTACCACTGCCGCCCCCATCAGAATCACCATCACCACCACCTTATTATCTCTTTCACCACCATCCTGTTATCCCCATCACCACCACTGTCATCGCCTTCACAGTCATCACAGCTATCACCATCACCTCCACCACCATCACTGCCAACACCACCGCCATCTTCATCATCATCAATCAATCAATAATCAACATTACTGAGAACATACCATAAAGCCCTTTGCAAGTTTTATCTAATTTGAGATTCAGAACTTTTTGACATGGGCAATATATATATATATATGTATATATATATATATATATACACACACACACACACACACACACAGACACAGACACACAGACACAGTCATGCACTGTATGTTTCAGTGTTTCAGTCAACGGTGGACTGCATATACAATGGTGGTCCCATAAGAGTATAATATCTATTATAGATATAGATATTATAATCTTATTATAATAGATTATAATAATAATTATATATAATATATTACATATAATCAAATATGAAGGTGTATATATAATATATATTATATATTTTATATATAGTATATATTGTATAATATATTATATATAATCGATTATAATCTATTATCTATTATATATTATAATATATATAATTATCGATTATATATAATAATAGATTATTATAATAAGATTATAATATCTTACGGGACCACCATTGTATGTGCAGTCCATCGTTGACTATTCAGCCCTATTATAGGGGCTGAAAAATTCCTATGGACTAGTTACATTGTAGTCATAACATCATAGTTTATTTTTTTATAAATTGAGTGTGGCCTAAGTGTACAGTGTTTATAAAGTCTACAGTAATGTACAGTAATGTCCTACACCTTCATATTCACCCACGACTTACTGACTCACCCAGAGCAACTACCAGTTCTGCAAGCTCCATTCATGATAAGTATCTTATATAGGTGTACCATTTTTATCTTTTATACCATATTGTTACTGTACCTTTTCTATGTTTAGATATGCTTAGATGCACAAATACTTAAAATTGTGTTAAAGTTGCCTACAGTATTGAGTACAGTATGATGCTGTCCAGGTTTGTAGCCTAGGAGCATATAACCTAGGTATGTGCTAAGCCACCCCATGTAGGTTTGTGTAACTGCGCTCTGTGATAGTCTCACAGCAACAAAATCTCATAACAATCCACTCCTCGGAATGTATCCCATCGTTGTGATGCATGGCTGTACCCTCACTTAAAGGTAAGGAAATTGAGGCTTAGAGAAATGAAGGCATTTATGAAGGTCACACAGCTCAACTGATGTGGCTGCAAATTCCAAGCCAGCTACCTGACTCCAGAGCCAACACTGTTATCCACTGCACCCCACTGCCCCCCACTGCCTGTGGGGAGAAAGGCCCTGTAGGATGTGTGAAGTGCTTAGGACACTCTAGAACATGGTAAATGCTCAATAAATTGTTAGATACTGCAGCTTACTTCAGAAGAATGATAGTGATTATTGCCTAAACAAAGGATTTCTGTATTCAAATACATTAGGAAATGGTGGATTAAACAAATGCAAAGCAAGTTTTTATTTGGCTGCAGACCTTGTCAGAGCCTTTCAAGGGCAAATGCACATTGGAAATCTCCAAGAAGCAATGCGTGAACTGTTTCCTTCTGAACACATTCAAGACTAGAGTTCCTTGAGAGGCACAAGTCATGAGATAAATGATCAAGAGCATCAAAGTGGGATTCTGTTAGCTCAGGGTTTTTCAACTGTGGTCCTGTTGACACTTTGGGCTGGATCATTCTTTATTGTCAGGTGCTATCCTGTGCCCCTTGGATGCCTTTGGCCTCGACTTACTAGGTGCCGGTAGTACAGGGTCACCCAGTTGTGGCAATGAAAAATGTCTCCAGATATTGATAGATGTATCTAGGGGGCTATATCACTTCCAGTTGAGGGCCACTGAGTTAGCTTATTTAAAGCATAGAGAAGAGAATAGGCCTGAAATGCCTACATTGAAGGGACCGGAGGATGAAAGAAAAGGCTATCACGGAGCCAAGGGAAGTGATGAAAGGTGCTCAGATGACCTTGGAAGGGCAGGACCAGGGCTGCCAAAAGAGCAGGGTATTCCAAAAAGAGGAGGCGGCCTCCAGCTGTTGGAAGCTCTGGAAGAAAAACGGAGAATGGATGAAGACAAGCCTTTGGATTTTCTCATCAGCTTCCTTTGGAAAACAACTCCAGTTGACTGACAGACAGCAGGCAGATTTCAGGGTGCAGAGCAGGACCATCTACTGCTCACGGAAGGCTTAGAGTGGCCAATATCAGGAAATGCTGTTAAAATGGGGACATCGGAACTAGCCCAGGAAGGATGGAGGCCAGCATAGTGGACAGGCAGCAATGCAAGGGAGAAAGTGAATCAGTCAAGCTTCAGACGAGGAGGTGGACAGGGACAGGATCAAGAGCATGATCCTGTGATCATGGGAAGGACAGTTGGGCACATTCCTCTCGCAGCCCTGGTGGGTTTGGCTCTTTGTTTTAGTTCCCTACGGCCACCATAACAAATCGCTTCAACCAGCGTGGCTTAAAACAACATGAATTTATTCTCTCGTCCTGGAGAATGAGAGTTCTGGAGGTCAGAAGTCCACACTCAAGGCATGAGCAGGGTTGGTTGGTTCTAGAGGATCTGGAGAAGCATCCATGGCTCTCTCCTAGGTTCCAGTTGCTGCTGGCGTTCCTTGGTGTTTCTTGGCTTGTAGATGCACCAGTGCAGTCCCTGCCTCTATCAGCACGTGACCTTCCTGCATGTCTTCACATGGCCTTAGGAGAAGATGAGTCATTGGATTTCTAGCCCATTCTAACCCAGTATGAACTCATCTTAATTTAACTAATTATATCTGCAGAGACTGTATTTCTAAATAAGATCACATTCTGAGATTCTGAGTGGACATGATTTTGGAGGGATGCCGTTTAACCCAGTACACTCACATACAGCTTATTTTTTTACAAATGTGAATTTGTAACCATTTTAAAATTGGGATAATGCCCATAAGAATAAGTATTTCTGGAGTCTTCTGGAAAACCAGAAGACTGAGCAACTTGGAATGCATTCCCCATGGTAAAATGATTGGCGCTGAGAATGGATCACCTCTGTTAGGGTGAATGGGCTTGTTCTAATTTGCCTCTGCCCCCACCTGGCCTACTTCTCTCATTGACCTTACATGGGTAGCCCAGTGTGGCCTGGAATTTGAGATCCCAGCATAAGCCATAAGGCTGGGGCCTAGCCCAGCACTTGGAGTAGACTCCATACTCTCTAGTTTCCTCGTGGTCTGATAGAGATCAGAGGCATCACCTCCTCTCAGATGTTGTTTGTGATCTAGGTGTAACTACAGTCACATTCATCCGGTCCACATAAGCCCACAGCTGGGGTCACATGCACAAGGAGGATGGAGGCAAACCAGCCCTCACATGGACATGCGGGCCAGGACTGGCCCGGGCTACAGTTCAGGAGGCCTTTTGCACATTTTTTGCACGTCAGTTCTGGAATCTCACCTCAGAAGGGCATGGTGCCAGAGGCGAATGACACTAACTTGAGAAACCAAACAGATCTGTACAAAAAATACAAAAATTAGCCGGGCTTGGTGGCACTCATTGGTAATCCCAGCTACTTGGGAGGCTGAGGCAGGAGAATTGCTTGAGCCTGGGAGGTGGAGGCTGCAGTGAGCCGAGATTGTGCCACTGCACTCCAGCCTGGGCAAAAGAGTGAGACTGTGTCTCAAAAAATAAAAATAAAAGGAAATCAAACAGATCTGGATTTGAATCCCAGCTGTAACTCTAGCTGTGTGGCCTGAGACAAATGCCTTAATCTCTCTGAGTCACAGTTTTCTCATCCTTAGAATGAGGATACAATCTACTCTGCCCAAGGGTGTTTTGGGCCAGGTGTGTAAAATGCCAGGTATGAAGTGGGCCCTCAGTAAGTAGCAATCATGTAAAAATGATTGTTGTTCCTATTGTCAGATGAGTTCCAGCCACCAGACAGACAGTTGTCACACACAGGTCCGGAGGAGCAAAATGGATGGAGAGAAGGGGAGATGAAGCTGCCTCCAATCAGAAGCCTTCTCCAATCACAAGCCTCCACCGATCAGAAGCCTCCTCCAATCACAAGCCTCCTCCAATCACAAGCCTCGCTGATGAGGACATGGAGCTTCTAAGTCCCCTATTGGCTGCTTGAGACAGGACATATTCTCAACAGCAGTCACCTCCTCCCCTCAGCCCCCAACCCCATCACCGTTCTGTGCCCATTTTGTATGCACCACTCAGTGTTTAGGTGACACCTTATTAAACAAGGTTTGCCTGTGACCAGGCAAGTCACAATGAAGTCAGGAATTAAGATATAGCTTCCTGCATCACCTAATTGGATTACAAGGATCATATGAATGCTGTGTTGACTATGAAATGTGCAGGGGATTATTCAGTAATGACTTTCTTCTGTCGTCCTTCACTAATCCTGTCAATCGGGAATGCCTTTAGATTAGGAAAGAATCCCACTGGAAGGAGCTGTCTTTCTCATTTACAGTTGGGCTTCCCCAGGGGCTGGAGAAGCAGGGTCACTGTAGCTCACTTATTGGCCAGTGAAGACAGCCGCCATATCTAAGCAATGACTCTATTCCTCATCACTGGTCTGGGTTCCTGATCCAAACCTACAACAGTCAATGGACATTTCTACCTTGGGGTTCCACGAGCTAAGGGTCTGAAAAATAACCTACCATCCTTCTGCCTCCAAAATCTCCTGAACTTTTTTCCTAGGTGAATAACCCTGTTATTCCCCAAGTTGCCCAAACCAAAAATCCAAGAGTCTCTGTTATTTCTACTCCCTTAAATCCACAAAGTCGCTATCATTTCTAGGTCCTAAATACCTTGTATCTGTCTCCTCCTCCCCAGCCTCCTGCTCTGCCCTTTAGGCATGTATTGTCTCTGTCTGGTAGTATTACAGTCACTTCCCAACTCTTTCTCCTGCTCCATTTCTGCCTCTGTCTTCTCTTCAAAAACAAAAACAAAAAAACATGGCTTCCAGAGTGAGCTTTAAAAAATGTGCTTCTCCTCACATCACTCCCCTGATGAAAACCCTCATCAAACAAGGAAATACATTGCAGCTTGAGCCTCTTCTACCTTCCTGGGCCAAAGCAGACATTGCTAATCAATCACTGCATTGCGTCCTGCAAGGCAGGATTTGGACTCAGCTTTGCTATGAGTTCATTGGGTTGACAAGAGAGATGAGAACTATTTGACATCTCAGGATCCTTCCTCATCTGCCCTCTGCCTGCCAGCCTTGTTCCTGCTGCTCCTCCTCCCTTACCTGCATTGTAGAATTCACCTCCCAGCCGTCCTGAGCTCAGGGGAGTTCTGAGTGACTCATACCACCATACCTTTGCACATGCAGTTGCCTCTGTGTGGAATGCCCTTCCCCAAGTGTGTCTGCCTGGAAAACTTTTACTTTACTCAGGTGCCATCCTGTCCATGAAGTCTCGAGATTTAGGTATTTTTCTCCAAGCCCCCATTGCCCCATGACCAGGTGTTCATTTTAGGGAGCACCCCCTTGCACTGACGTTGTTGGTTAGCATGTCTGAGACAGAGATAAGGCTTATGCGTCTTCACACCCCTGGTACCTGCCATGGCTCCACTGTGCTCAGGAGCTGTTTGTAAACAATCAAATGGGTGATGGAATAAATAGCATCTGTCTTACTGAATGCTTGCTTTATGCCAGACACCAGGCTAAGCGCTCTATCTGCATCATTGTATCCCAGCCTCACAATCTCTCTGTAAGGTAGGCATGGGAGTTTTTTTGCACATGTGGAAACTGAGGCTCAAAGCAATGAAGTCATTTGCTCAAGGCCACACAGTGATGGACCCAGGTCTATCTAAAGTAGTATTTTTTTTTCCAGGGACATTTGGCAATATCTGGAAACTTCGTTTTTATTTTTTGAGACAGGGTTTCACTCTGTCATCCAGGCTGGAGTACAGTGGTGTGATCTCGGCTCACTGCAATCTCTGCCTCCTGGGCTCAAGCCATCCTCCCACCTCAGCCTCCTGAGTAGCTGGCACTACCACCACCACCACACCTGGCTAATTTTTGTATTTTAGTAGAGACAGGGTTTCGCCACGTTGGCCAGGCTTGTCTCAAACACCTGACCTCAGGTGATCTGCCCGCCTCAGCCTCCCAAAGTGCTGGGATTACAGGTGTGAGCCACTGTGCCTGCTGGAAACATTTTTAATGGTCACAACTAAAGAAAGGATGCTCCTGGCATTTAGTGGATCGAGTCCAGAGATGCTCCTGGGCACTGCACAATGCACAGGACAGCTTGCTGTCACCTCCAATAGAGAGTTATCCAGCCCATAGTGCTAGTAGTGCTATAGTACAAGGGTACTACGGCCCTGAGGCTTTGAATGTAACGGTGGCCTTGAATGTCCCTACGGTATGTGGCTCTGTAACTGCTGCTGGTGTTTCATTGGTTTCAGTTGCTCAGAGTCACAAGCTGCACAAATACATTCAGAAGGTGCTGCCTTCCCTTTGGTTGTGTCAAGAATGGCAGAGAGAATAGGGACATAGGTCCAGATATGCCTTCTACTAAATCTTGGGACTTCATCATTTAACCATAACAGCCTCCAAGGATAATAGTTCTCAGTGTAAGCCGTCTCCCCCATTCTGTCCATCCTGGAGGGGTCCCCTTCAAACCCACTACCTCATGCAAATTTCCAGCAGCTGAAATGAATACATGCAGATTTTTTTTTATAATTTTTTGCAGATGTTCTTAGGGGTAAGGTAAATATGTAATTTACAAAAATCCAAAGAACTTATGATCCGAATCTGCTTAAGCCACATGAAGTCAACAGAGGGTTAAAAGCACCCAATTTATTTTCATCAAGAAATTTGAACTTTGGTCGTAGAATGCAACTTAGCTGCGATTCTACATTATTTATGATTCATGGGGCATTGTAACTTACCACAGTCTCTGAGTAATCTTTTTAAGCCTGCCAAAAGAACCGGTGTTAATTGCTTACACTGGAACATATTTGCTGTTGGAAATGTCACACCATAATTATATTCCATTTCGCTGTCTAACAAGTAATATACTAAAAGAAAATTGGGTTTTTTTTTTTTCCTCCTTCTTCTTGTGATGTGCAAAACCATTCCTGAAACGCTTCAAGCAGCTCGCAGGTGGCAAGTTTCTGGACTTGTCAAGAAATTAGGCAGAAAACTTTCTGGGTTTGCTGATGGTAATACAAGCCAGACCAGCAGGGTCTGCTTGGTGGACTTTGTAACCTGAGCTCATGCTCAGAAAGCCCCATGTTAGATTTTATGCTTTGCTTTCACCGTCTTGACACTCTTAATATTTTTTGAACAAGGGGCCTTGCATTTTCATCTGTAGTGAGCCCTGCAAATTATGGAGTTGGTCCTAAAAAGGAGGAGGAAAGGGAGAGGGACATGGCCCATGGAGACTGGGATTAAAGATCAGGAAACAGTTGACGTTTCAGAACATGATGAGAATTTCAGAGACACAGACCAATTATAAATAGAGAGAGAGAGAGTGTGTGTGTGTGTGTGTGTGTGTGTAAAATAAGAATTGGTGGCTTACGAGGTCACACAGGACAAAATGTCTAATCAGATGACTCTTCCTGGAAGACTAATACTATATTTGGTAGGCTGAGCATCTGTTAAACCAGGGACTGGCAAATGATAGCCCACAAGCCAAATCCGGCCCACCACCTGTTGCGTAAGTTAAGTTTTATTGGAACACAGCCACACTCATTTGTTTTGGTCTTGTCTGTGGCTGCCTTCTCTCTACAGTGGCAGAGTTGAGAAGTTGCAACAGAGAACCATATGGCCCACAAAGCCCAAAGTGTTTACTGTCTGTCCTCTTATAGAAAATAAAATATTTAAGATTCCTGTCTTAAAATCTAGGGAGAGCCTCATGCACCTCGCTACAAGAGAGGCTGAGAAGTGTTGAAGAAATGTTGATAAGTGTCACATTCTCATTTGTAATTGTGTATAACAGAGGGGAAAATGGATGTTGATGGATGGTTAGCTGTCTCTGGCATACCCCTTTTGCAGATTTGGAAGCTGAGGAGGCTTCAAGAGTTCATGAAGCCATTTGCCCAAGACCACAGATCAAATAAGTGACAGAGCCAGGACGCAGAGGGAAGCCTGACTTGAAAGTATAAAGCACGTGCTTTCTAAATTGTGATAGCTTCCCTGCATCTGCTAACAAGTGCACGTACACTGAGTAATCTTTTGCACAGATACACTGATAAGACTGCGAAATAAGACTGTGAAAGAAAACAAGCCAAATCACAGATGGCTCTTGCCCCCAAAGGGTGATTAGGCATGCACGTGCCTGGTCTTCATAGAAGGCAGATGCTGCTAAAAGTGTTCGTTGGGTCATTCATTTGTTCATGTAAGAAATGTATGGAAAGTTTAGGCTTTGTAAATGGTTCACCTTCACCCATCTCAATGCCTTGCTTTTCCTCCTGTCCGTCTTGTCGCTGATAGAATGTGGTCAACAATCAGAACATCTGTACAACAGCTCCTAGATGACCAATATACCACAGCCTTCAATTAAAATATGTCAGGTTACCTTCTTCAGTATTTCCTTTCCATTTTCCACTTTGGGAAATTGAAGCTCAAAGGTTCTGGTAGCTTCTCTAGATAACAGAGCTAGCGAGGTCTGGTCCTAGAATTTGAACCCAAGCCTTTCTGCCTTCAGTAACCAGGTATAGAATCACTATATTAGTTAGGGAACATCAGCTGCTATAACAATCAAACGTAGCAATGTTTGTTTGCGTTGAGGTCACACAGGGCAAACTGTCTAATCAGATAACTCTTTCTGGAAGACTAGTACTTTATTTGGTAGATAGAGCTTCTCTTCAACCAGAGATGGGTAAACTGTAGCCAGTGGGCTGAATCCAGCCCACCACCTGTTTTGTAAGTCAAATTTTATTGGAACACAGCCACCAGTGTATAATGTCTCTAACATGAAGATGGTTGATGTCTTCATCCTCTGCCATCCAAAATAGATGTTCCTGATTGACTCCCCTCCATGTTGTAATTCAGGGATCCAGGCCCTTTCCATCTGACTCCACTATCTCCACTATCTTCAACACACAGCATCCAAGGTCACCGTGCTCTTCTGCACCCAGACAGTGAAGAGGGAAATAGCACAGAGAAGCATGCACAGGTGTCCATGGGTAAGCCTAGAAGTTGTGTGCATCACATTTCTATTTTATTGGCTAAAGCACAGCCTCTTGGCAAGACCTGACTGCAAACGATGTGAAGTAGGTTGTAGTGAGTGCCATGAATAAAGCAGACGTGGTTTTGACCAAGAGCCTCAACCACTCTGATTGCCCTACTGCTCTGCCCAGAGTTGCTTCCCTTTCCTTTGGGTTATTTCCAGCCCCCTGGCCCCTGTGAAATACATGTGACCACGTGGCTCTGTTCCTGCAAAAGGGTCAGCTTCCCCAATGCTGGGAACACATCTCCAGGAAGCATTCCTCTGTGAGTGCGACTGTGCATCTGACAGGGATACGGGGCACAGCGGGAGGCAAGGTTAGTAATTTAGTTGTTACTGGCTGACAGGTTAGTCTTAGAATATGTTCCCTGCAATTCAAGGCTTGCACGAAAGAGACAGAGAGAGGCACTTAACAAATGTCAGCCTTTCTTTTTTTTTTTTTTTTCCTGGCGCAGTTGCCTCACACTGACCCTGAAGCATTTGAGGGGTGTCTCTGTGTGAGTTCATCAGCGCCTAGTCCCAGCCCCCGCTTGGTGTTCTTGATTCCTCTTTCCTGTGAGGTTTCCCTGAGTGTGGTTCACGAAGAGCGGCCGTCACAGTTGCCAGAGGGCCCCTGAAAATACTGAAATACTGCCAGGGTGGTGATCTGGAGGGAGGAATGCAGGATTCTTTTTTTTTTTTTTTTTTTTTTGAGACAGAGTTTTGCTCTGTCACCCAGGCTGGAGTGCTGTGGCACGATCCCGGCTCGCTGCAATCTCTGCCTCCCGGGTTCAATTGATTCTCATGCCTCAGCCTCCCAAGTAGCTGGGATTATGGGTGTACACCACTGTGCCCATCTAATTTTTATATTTTTAGTAGAGATGGGGTTTCGTCATTTTGGCCAGGCTGATCTTGAACTCGTGACGTCAAGTGATCCACCCGCCTCCACCTCCCAAAGTGCTGGGATTACAGGCGTAAGCCACTGCGCCCGGTCTAGATTCTGCATTTTAATAAGCTCCTCAGACAATCTTTTTCAGGATCACGGGTTTCAAGCAGTTTCTCAACCTTGGCATTTGACATTTTGAACCAGATAATCCCTTCTGTGGGGGCCGTCCCGTACATGGTGGGACGTTTAGCGGTATCCCTGGCTTCTACCTCCTAGGTGCCAGTAGCATTCTTTCTTCCAGTTGTGACAAATAAAAATGTCTCCAGACATTGCTAGATGTCCTCAGGGAGACAAAATTGTCCCTGGTCAAGAAGTGCTGGCTTAGGGCATAACTTAGTATGTTTCTGTGACATAAAATATAAATGTTCCTCTAGGACCCATGTTCTTCTCTCCATTACTAACTCCCAGGTATCTGGGTCGGGTCCTAGGATTCAGTCTCCCTCAGAGGAACGTGAGTGGAAATGATGGTTACTTCTTGGCCAAGCCAGTTGACGGGCTGTGAATTTGTCATGCCAATCGCTGTCCTCTCTGTGCACTGCAAGAGAAGGGTGCTAAGGAGTGGGATTGTGTAGTTGAAGCAATTTGGATCCTCAAGTCACCTCTTGGAGGACGGCCCTGTAGGAGAGCTGCTCAAGCTGCATAGGAGCAGGAAATAAGCCTTTGTTGGGTTCAAGCCACTGCGATTTTGGGATCCATGTGTTGAGCCCAGCATTGCCCTGGCTCATACTGGATTTTAGTGCTCTATGTAAAGCACAAAGGAACTGTCAACTTCCTCTCTTATAAGTCATCTGAAACCTGTTCTTTTTATTTTTTCTTGGAGACAAGGTCTCACTCTGTTGCCCAGGTTAGAGTACAGTGGCGTGATCATAGCTCACTGCAGCCTTAACCTCCCAGGCTCAAGCGATCCTCCTGCCTCAGCCTCCCGAAGAGCTGGGACTACAGGTGCACCCCACCACACTCTGCTTAAAACATATTCTTAATACATTTAAGGCAGGTTGGAGTAATGGCTTTGGAAGCAGGTTAGTCTGGGTTCAGATCCCAGCTTGGCCACTAGCTGTGTGATCTTGGTTATGCTATATAACCTCTTGAGTCTCAACCTGTTCTTCCTTGGCAAAAGTGGGATAATGATGGCATCTGTCTCAGTGTTTTGAGACGATGAACTGGAAAAATTGCCACCAACCAACCAACCAACCGAAAACACTCTTGATACCATGCCCGGCATATAGTAAGTGCTTAAAAAAATGCTGGCTTTTGTCAATATATTTCTGGCAGGGTCAGTGTGTATGCATTGTTTCTGGGGTTAGCATTTTTAGTAGAGACCTGTTTTTTGCCAATCAGTCAGCTTCCCGTAGCTTTATTGACTATAGGACATGGTTCTGTGAATATTGAAAAGGAGTGATGGCTGCCGGAGAGGGACGAGGACCCCAAACAATATGTTAGGAGGTGATGATTATTAACAAGAGGCAAGGAAATGTTGTTGCCACCATGAAGCCGTAAGGGTGGAAAACATGGCCAAGGAGTGTCTGGATCACTCACTCATTCTGCATTTATTGCCCTAGTGCCTATTTTGTGCCAAGGGACAGAGATAAAACAGAAAGCCAATCTTTCCACATTTTCATGTACCTCCAATACTACACAATCTGTTGCTTTTAAGAAAAGGACATAAACAAGCAAAGGCGCACTTTCTGCCCAGGGTGAGATCTCAGTCATAGTTGGAGAGACAAGCAAATGATTTTATCTGCCCAGGCAAACAAGCCCAGGAAGAGCATCAGAAGTTAACACAGGCCGAACGTGGTGGCTCACACCTGTTATCCCAACACTTTGAGAGGCCGAGGCGGGTGACTCACCTGAGATCAGGAGTTTGAGACCAGCCTGGCCAACATGGTGAAATCCCATCTCTACTAAAGATATAAAAAGTAGCCGAGTGTGGTGGCACACACCTGTAATCCCAGCTACTCGGGAGGCTGAGGCAGGAGAATCGCTTGAACCCAGGAGGCAGGGGTTGCAGTGAGCCGAGATTGCGGCATTGCACTCCAGCCTGGGGGACAGAGTGGGACTACGTCTCAAAAACAAAAACAAAAAGTTAACACAGACATTGACCTGAGTTCCCCAAATTTATCCAGACTGCCTCCAATCCCGGCTACCCACTGCTTCTCTCAAGTGTGTTATATGAGAACGCCTAGGTGGCCTGGCCTGGGTGACAGCTTGCTCAGATTTCAATTGTGCTCATATTTTTTTTTTAAATGGCAGTTTCAACAAATCCTACCCACTGATGCATTGTTTAACCAAATGTCATTTCTCTGCCTTTCTCATTTAAGTATCATCTGTTAGGTTTACACATTGGTACACCCATGAAATTAACATTACATGTGTTTCCTTTTGGAGCTGACTAAATTTAATTTAATTTAAATTGTTTTCACTGTCAGTGGCCTTCCCAAGCTGTGGTAGCACACGTTCTGTCTCCTTAAAGGCTTATCTTAACTGCATCCTGTCAAAAAATCCTAGGACCCACCCACTTTCCCCTGCAGTTCTCTGGTCTAGGGGCCAGCTCATGTTTAAAATGAGCTTCCTCTGTCAGTTCATTCAGAGAGGTTCTTATTTAGAAAAGTTTATTCTCCTGCCTCAGCCTCCCAAGTAGCTGGGACTACAGGCATGCACCACCACGCCCTGCTAATTTTTTTGTATTTCTAGTAGAGACGGAGTTTCACCATGTTGATCAGGCTGGTCTCGAACTCCTGACCTCAAATGATCCACCCGCCTCGGCCTCCCAAAATGCTGGAATTACAGGCGTGAGCCACTGCACAGGAGAATCACTTGAACCCAGAGGCAGAGGTTGCAGTGAGCCAAGATCGCACCACTGCACTCCAGCCTGGGTGACAGAGTGAGACTCCATCTCAAAAAGAGAAAGAAAGAAAAGAAAAGTATTCTCAGGAGCCCCCTGGCTTAAATGAAGTTTCCAAGCCATCGTTGAGAAATCAGGGTCTCTCTGGTCTTCCAGGTAGGTCGAAGAGTGACCTGCCTGGAGCTCTCAAACCAATGTTAGGGAACTTGACTCGATTAATACAAGCACCAAGACAGCATAATGGTTATCCCCTCAATGATGCTGTAATGGTAAAAGACAAGATGTAGCGTTCATTCATTTCACATTTATTTAGAGATTCGCCTATCATGTCCATCTGGTCCAGTGTGCAGCCCTGCAGTGTGTCACCCAGTAGCAGGCATTTGATAATTATTTCTCTTTTTTTTTCTTTTTCTTTTTTTTTTTTTTTTTTTTTGAGACAAAGTCTTGCTTAGTCGCCCAGGCTGGAGCACAGTGGCACGACCTCAGCACACTGCAGCCTCCACCTCCTGGTTCAAGCAATTCTTGTGCCTCAGCCTCCTCAGTAGCTGGGATTATAGGCATGTGCCACCACGCCCAGCTAATTTTTGTATTTTTAGTAGATACAGGGTTTTACCATGTTGGCCAGGATGGTCTTGAACTCTTGACCTCAGGTGATCCACCCACCTTGGCCTCCAAAAGTGCTGGGATTACAGGCATGAGCCACCATGCCCTGCCGATAATTATTTCTCAAATAAGTGATAAGTCCATCCTGTCCACTGCTGTCTTCCCCCTCCACCTCACACCCTGCCCCCTGCCACTGCCCCAGGGTATAGCACACTCACAGGCATTTATAATTATTCATCAAATGAACAAATGACTTTGTGCTGGCACATGCTTGGGAGGTATTTCAAAGTTTTTACAGTGATCTCAGGCTGTGCCCGTGGAGGATCTTCTAGTCACTCCCAGGAAGAAACATGACAAAGAGACCTTACATGTTGTAGGAGAGAAATTGAATGAGCTTGGAATATGCAGGTGGCTTAGATTTGGAGGGAGATGGGGGCCGGAGTAATAGCAAAATAACAATTTCCACATATTTGAGAGGTTGGTTTGCCAGAGAAGCAGCAGCACTATCTTTGAAGACCAAATTAGGACCTATGGATGAAAGCTTCGAGCAGGCACATTTTGGAAGCGATAGCTCACAATCACTGCTGAGCACAAGCCCTGCTATGTAAGGCACTGAGCCTTCCATCTTTGGAGGCATCTAAGAAAAAATACCCAGTGGCCCTGAATTACTTACTCAGTAAGTTCTTGTCATTACCCTACAGAAGTCTTAAAAATACAGAAAAGCACCAAAGGAAAGTAAAAAAAAAAACAAAAGTCCGCACTACTCCCCTCTCCCCACCCCTGAGTTTGCTTTTTCGCTTTGTTTTGTTGTTCTTGTTGTTGTTGTTTGTTTTTTTGGTGTTTTGCCTTTTCTTGAGAGGAAGCCTCACTCTGTCACTAGGCTGGAGCGCAGTGGTGTGATTTTGGCTCACTGCAACCTCCACCCCCTGGGTTCAAGCAGTTCTCCTGCCTCAGCCTCCCGAGTAGCTGAAACTACAGGCGCGCACCACCATGCCTGGCTAATTTTTGTATTTTTAGTAGAGATGAGGTTTCACCATGTTGGCCAGGCTGGTCTCGAACACCTGACCTTGTGATCCACCTCTCAAAGTGCTGGGATTACAGGCGTGAACCGCTGCGCCTGGACCCCCAACGTTTTTTGTCTTTTTTTTTTTTTATTATTATTATTATTCAAAATAAGACCCTCCCTGCCTTGAGACCTTGACACATGGTCTTCCTTCCTTCCAAAGTGACATCCTTTCACCTGGCTCACTCTTTATGTTTCACAGCTCAGCTTCACCGTGGCTTCTTTGGAAAGGTCTATAGACCTGGTTTGCATCAGATCACCTGGCCCCATCTCTCTCCTCCCCTGGCCGCCCGTACTTTTCATTCATTGCATCCAACACCTTTTGTAAAATACGTTGATCTGTTTTCTCCATCCAACATCCACTGGACTGTCAGCTCCTTGAATACAGATTCAACACTGGTTTTGTTCATTTGGGCATTCTCAGTGCCTGGCAGCGTAGCTGCTCTGTGAACATTTGAGAAGGGAAGGAGGAGGGTGGGAGGAAGGAAAGAGAGAATGCCTGTATTCACTGACAGTGAAAAGATGTCAGGAGTACATTACTGAAAACAGAATGCATATGACAAAGCAGAACATACATGATTATATATAACGTGAGTGCATAAAACTATTTGCAAAATGTTCACTGAACGTTTGTTAACAATGGTGATATTTTGGCACTAATATCTGGGTTTTTTTTTACTTCATATTGTTCTGTATGCTTGAATTTTCTACAGTAAGTATTATCTTTGTAGACAGAGAAATCCAAGAAACAATCAGAAGCACCTAAGAAGTGAAGCTAGAACAGAGTTCGAAACGAGGTCCTCCTTGGTTTTCTCCCAGGAACTGCAGCTCCCCAAGTGGTGTGGTCTCCTTGTCTGTGTATCAGAGCCCCGGCCTGAGGCTGAGCCCAGCTCACATCATTGCAGGGAGAGGGATCTATTGAGATCCCAGTGCATTTGAGGTGCTCGTTGTTACCCACTGTTGTGAACCCTGTTGCATGTGTGTTTCTATGTCCATTTATTCAACAGGAATTTACTGTATGTTCCAAGTGCTCCTGGCATTGTCACCAGACACTCTCCTAGGCCAAGTAAATGAAACACCATCCCTGCCCTCTAGGAGCAAAACCAAATGTTGTGTTGACTATTGCTGCTCGTTGCTGTTGTGATCAACCGGAGATTTCATTAGCAGTAGGCTTGACGAAGAGGACCACTGTGCTTAGAGATGTAGTCCTTATATTTCAAGAGGCAGGATGACAGAGTATCCTGGAATCAGTTTGCTTGGACTCACATCCTAGCTCCATTACTTGCTAGCATTTGATCATGGGCAGATTACACTCTTTCTGTCTGCCTCAGTTTCCCCATGTGTAAAATGAGAATGATAGCAGGACCTCATAGGTTTGCTGCAAGAACTCAATGAGATGATATGTGTACAGGGCTTGGCCGAGTGACCAGCGCAAAGTAAATCCTACCCACATGAGCTTTTATAATTATTCCTGTCTGCATTATGTGACGTGACAGCATTAATGTGACAAATGGGAAACGATTTGGAGAAATGTCCCTTTTTTAAAAGAAGGCACCTGCAGAACATATTTATGGTTTATGATCAGGAGGCAGCGTTAATGGCCCATAATGTGATTACTATGAGGATTTTTATTAGGAAAATTCCAACCAATTTGGCATTAATTAATGTACTGTTAACTTTAGAGTGTTACTCACTTAATCCTTGGAGAGTTGGAGAAAATAAACCTGTTGTCAAAACCCTCCCTCTGAGAAGTAAATAAGAGTTGTTCCCTCCTCGAGAGGCTCCATTTGTAATAAAAATAGATGAGTCGCTGCGTTTTTCCATGGCAGTATTTATTGAGCCTGCGAGTCCCTTCAAGAGAGGAGAAACGAGGGCAGAGATGAAAATGTCAAGCGACAGGAAGGCTCGTAGGAGAACTTGCACACAGCAGCCTCTGGGTCAAGAGGGCAGGGAGTACAGATAGAGCAGGCTTTCTGGACACACGAAGCACAGAGTGCAGGATATGGGGGCCCCTGCCTGTCTTTCCACCCCATGAAGCAAGGCATCCCACACCACCCCATCTGGGAATTTCAAAATGTGTCCTGCCTGCCACCCACTCCTCAACCATGGATAACAAGCCTGATGAAAGGGCTTGTTACTCTCTTCAATTGCAGTCCTTAAGGTGGTACCCAAGACCCTGTGTGATGCCTCTGCTGTCGGCCCATCCTCATCTTCTGCACTTCCTCTTGGCCTCAGTTCCAGCCACACTGGCCTTCCTGTATGTCTTCTCCTTACCATACTATCATTCGTGACAGGCCCTTTGCATATGCTGTTCCCTCCACTTAGGGACACTTTTCCCTCTTCTCTTACCTAGTTAACTCCTCACTCAACCTGTCAATTGTAGTCTAAGGGGCACATCCCTGGCCTCCTTGAGTTGTATATTAGTCTGCCTGGGCTATCATTTAAAAAAAATTACCATAGACCAGGTGGCTTAAAAAACAAATATTTGTCTCCATTTTGGAAGCTATGAATCTGAGATCAGGGTGCCAGCATGGTTGGGTTCTAGTGAGGGCCCTCTTCCTGGCTTGCAGATGGCCGACTTCTCACTGTGACCTCATGTGGCAGAGAAATAGCAAGCTCTCCAGTGTCTCTTCTAAGAGCAAAAATCCCCTAAATTCAAGGCTCCACCCTTAGGACTTCATTTAACCTTTTTGTTTGTTTGTTTATTTCAGAGGCAGTCTTGTTTTGCCACCCGTGCTGGAGTGCAGTGGTGCAACGTCTGCCTCCTGGGTTCAAGTGATTCTCCTGCCTCAGCCTCCTGAGTAGCTGGGATTACAGGTGCCTACCACCATGCCTGGCTAATTTTTGTATTTTTAATAGAGACAAGTTTTTACCATATTGGCCAGGCTGGTCTTCAACTCCTGACTTCAAGTGACCCACCCACTTCGGCCTCCCAAAGTGCTGGGATTACAGGCATGAGCCGCCACACTCGGCCCAACTTCATTTAACTTTAATCACCTCCTTAAAGGCCACATCTCCAATACGGTCACAGGAGAGGCTAGGCCTTCAACATATTAATTTTCGGGGGACACGATTCAGTCCTAGCAAATCCTGTCTTTGGAAAAGGAAAGGATACCTCAGCATCGAGAAACAGAAGCAGAGGTTTCGTGAGATTAAACAACATTTTGGCTTCACAGAAAGGGTGATTGGAGGAGCATAGAGGGAAATGAGGTTGGAAAGAGGAGAAGAGAAAATGTAGTCATTTGCAAATCATTATTTAAGGCAACAATAATGATGGCCACCATTTCATTTTCTGCATACCACATACTGGTCCTGGAGATATTTATGTGTTTATTATCTGTCTTCTTTCTCAGGAGAGGCTGCTTCTCATAAGCAAAAGCTCTTGTGGCGTGTGCATGAGTCTATTTTTCACTCCCAGAATGGTGCCTGCCTGGCATATCATAGACATTCGTTCCAGTTACTTCTGCTGGGTAGCAAACCCCCCCAAACTTAGTGGCGTAAAACACCATCACTTGTTATGCTCTTGGATTCTATGGATCAGGAGTTTGGAAAGAGCACATAGGAGACAGGGGAAAGACATAATGCCCCAGGTTCAGAGCTACTGCTCTGTACTAGGCACTTCTCTGAGCATAATTCCATCCATCAGTTCCTCCCTATGAAGGAGGGTCAATATGTATCCCTATTTTACTGATGATGAGCTAGAATCTTTGAGAGGTTATATAGCTTGCCCGACCTCCCAGAGTTAATGGGGGAAGAGCCATGGTTTGAATGCAGATCTGTCCGATTTCAAAACGAAACTTCTTTCCACTCTGCTATGTAGCCTTTCCAGAGTGGCTACCTGTGTTTGCCAAAAAGTGGGAGGCCATCTTGGCAGGAAGCCTTCTGCCTCCCAGGGAGATGAGTGGTTCTCAAACCATGCTGGTCCCCTAGGGGGCACTGGGAAATGCAAGTGAGGAGAGGCTGTTATGGGGACTAGGGATTTCAAATGCCCTGTAATCATGGGATAATACCACTCAAAGAATTGTCTCTTCCCAAGTGACAGTAGTCCCTGTTGAGAAATACTGCTTGAGAAGGGAGGAGGATCTGTGAAATATTGATCTGTGCTGAAACCCTCTGAAAGGTTGCTCAAATGGCTAGGTGCGGCAGATCATGCCTGTAATCCCAGCACTTTGGGAGGCTGAGGCGGGCGAATCACAAGGTCAGGGGTTCAAGACCAGCCTGGCCAACATAGTGAAAACTGTCTCTACTAAAAATACAAAAAATTAGCCGGGCATGGGGGTGGGCACCTGTAATCCCAGGTACTCGGGAGGCTGAGACAGGAGAATCGCTTGAACCCAGGAGGCGGAGGTTGCAGTGAGCAGAGACCTCACTACTGCACTCCAGCCTGGGCGACAGTGCGAGACTCAGTCTCAAAAAAAAAAGAAAAGAAAAGAAAGGTTGTTCCAATACAATAGAAGCTCAGGGGTTAAAAGTCCCCATTTTAGTGTCTGACAGATGGAGGGTTGAATCCCAGTTCTGCAGCATATTAGCTGACCAGGTCAGGTAACTACTCAGAGTCTTTATTTCCTTATCTGTAAAATGGGAATAGTCAGAATGCCTCCCTCAAAGGTCTGCTGTGAGGAGTAAATGAGGTAAGGTCTTGTATTGGTTCATTCTCCCATTGCTATAAAGAAATACCTGAGTGGATAATTTATAAAGAAAGGAGTTTTAATTGGCTCTCAGTTCTGTGAGCTGTACAGGAAACATCAAGGCTTCTGCTTCTGAGGAGGCCCCAGGAAACTTACAATTGTGGTGGAAGGTAAAGGGGGATGTAGGTATGTCTTACAGGGCCGGAACAAGAGCAAGACAGGGGAGGTGCCACACACTTTTAAACACGCAGATCTCTAGAGAACAGCATCAAAGGAATGGTGCTAAACCATTCATGAAGGATCCACCCCCATGATCCAGTCACCTCCCACCAGGTCCCACCTCCAACACTGTGGGTTACCATTCAACATGAGATTTGGTTGGGGACACAGATCCAAACCATATCAAGTCTGTTAGAAAATGCTCAGCCCAGGACCTGGCACACAGTGGCCACATTGCTATTATCATAATAGCTCTTTCATCCTTGATGCACAGAAAAGGTAACATCAGCAGGATGGATAAGAGCTTGCAGGCCACAGCGCAGCGTTTTCACAGATGATATGTTACAGGCCAAGTGACTGGGACCCAGTGAATTGCAGTGAAATGTACCATACACCGTCAATATCTATCCCACCAGTTTCCATTTATTGAGCAGTATATCATTAGAATATCCCAGGGCTCTGAACAATAAAATCAATAAGACGGTTCAGTCATGGGCTGTTCTTTAATAACTCCAGACTTGAATGGGGTCGGGGGAAGTCAGTGAGCAGGAAAATGTCCTGAGTGCTTGGTCGGGGGTGGAGGGAGACATTTTCTCAGAGTGGGAGAAAAATAATGAATGAGGTAGCCTTCAGTCTCTGGTGGAGTGAGTGGCCATGAGCATTTGAGGCAACAGCCAAAGATATGTTTGGGTAAAATTCTTTCCACCTCGAGAGATGCGTTTTTTAAAAGATGGTTGAAAAGAAAAGAAAAGGTGTCCAAAATGTGGTTCTCAACCCTGACTGCATGTCAGAATCACAGGGGGAGTTTCAAAAGAGTCCCAATACTTGCGCCCACCAAACTAATTAAGTTAGAATTTATTGGGGTGGGGCCGAGGCATGAAGATGTTTTTCTAAAAAAAAGATGTTCAGATGATTTTAAATGTGCAGCCAGGGTTAAGAACCACTGGCCTAGGCAAACATGAGCCTGTATCACAATCACCTGGAGAGCTTCTTACAACACAGAGTCCTTGTCTCCCACACCCAGAGTTTCTGATTCAGAAGGTTTGGGGTTGGGGCTGAAACTTACATTGCTAACAAATTCCCAGGTGTTGCTGATGCTGCTCATCAGAGACCACATCTAGAGAGCTTGTCCTAGAACAGTGGTTCTCAACTGGGAGCAAATTTTGCCTCTCCACGCCCTATCCCCCACCAGGGGGACACACATCAATGAATGGAGACATTTTAGGTTTTGTCACAACTAGGTGAGTGCTACTGGCACCTAGTGGGTAGATCCAGCGATGCTGCTAAACATCCTACAGTGCGCAGGACAGTCCCCTCCACAACAAGGAATTATCTGGCCTCAAATATCAATAGTGCCAAGGTTGAGAAATCTTGCTCTAGGGGAGACGATAGTTTTGAAGCCATTCTGAGAACATGAGGCTTTGGTTCCCATCAAGCTTAGCATGGGAGCCTGAGTGAAGATGAGGATGCCAGATTCTTGCTAGCCAAAGCCTGGTCATAGAGCATGGTATTTGACGTCAGAACAGTGCGTATCCTAATTTCTTCTCCACCTCTTGGCTCTGTGACCTTGGGCAAGTTCCTCACCCTCTCTGAGCCTGGGATGATTATCTATAAATGGGGATAATTTTCATTTGCAGCATTGTTACAAGAGGTAAAAGCCTCATGAGTGAAAGAACCACATGAATGTTAAGTACTCAACAAATTAGAGTAAGAATCAAAAGGACAGTGTTTCTCCACAGACTTCTGTCTCTCTAGCAGGGAGGTGCTGTCCCAAAAGCCCACCCCAGGAGACTCCTGACAAACCCTCCTGGGCCCCTAAAGCAAGTGGGAGCCCTCATCCAGAAAGATCAAAACATTGTCTGGACCTTTGGGTCCTTGCAGGATGGATGGGGCTGCTTGAGTATCCCCCTGCCCTTTGCCTTTACCTCCTCTCATTTGTTTAACAAACTCAGCACATCCTAGTTTGGAAGCAAAGCTCATGGAGCCTAATTAACATTCCCCAAGCTTCCTTCGCATCCCTCCAGCCTTCACAATTCTGCCATATCCACATTCCACCTGCCATATTATTCTTGTAGTATTTTTACTGCAATAGACTCGCCTTTATTTTTATGTAAGCACATTTTATTTTAAAAGTAATTTTGCATCATGGCCATAAGTGGAAATCTTGCTGTCACTTGCCATGAGGAGACAGCAACAATGCGAAGAAATCAGTGAAACAAAAACAATGGCATTCAGTGCTAGCCGGGCACTCCTGTTACCTGCTGGAGATGCCAGTTCTGGGGGCAGGATTCTGCTTTTTGGAAAAGGAAGTTCAGTAGGGGAGTGCTGCTGAAGATTTGTTTGCATTGACCTGAGAGTTTGCTGGTAGGGTATTCAGGAGAGGTGGGTAAGAATTGAAAAAAGATTCACAGTCCCCCCTGACTCAATGCCATTCGATGTGAGCAGCATGTGAATCCTCTCTTGGGTAACTCTGACATCGCATTTAAGAACACACTGGGCAAGGTGGCTCACACCTGTAATCCCAGCACTGGGAGGCTGAAGGGGGAAGATCACTTGAGCCCAGGAGTTCAAGACCAACCTGGGCAACATAGGGAGACCTTATCTCTACAAATAATTTTTTTTTTAAGATGGAGTCTCATTTTGTCACCCAGGCTGGAGTGCAATGGTGTGATCTTGGCTCACTGCAACCTCCGCCTCCTGGGTTCAAGCAATTCTCCTGCCTCAGCCTCCTGAGTAGCTGGGATTATAGGCGTGCACCACCATGCCCAGCTCATTTTTGCATTTTTAGTAGAGACAGGGTTTCACCATATTGGTCAGGCTGGTCTCAAACTCTTGACCTTGTTATCCACCTGCTTTTGCATTTTTAGTAGAAACGGGGTTTCACCATGTTGGTCAGGCTGGTCTCAAACTCTTGACCTTGTGATCCACCCACCTCAGCCTCCCAAAGTGCTGGGATTACAGGCGTGAGCCACCACAGCCAGCCTACAGATAATTTTTCTAAAAAAATTAGATGGACATGGGATGCATGCCTCTGGTCCCAGCTACTCTGGAGGCTGAAGAGGGAGGATCATTTGAGCTCATGAGTTTGAGACCAGCCTGAGCAGCATAGGGAGACCTGGTCTCTACAAATATATATTTAATTAGCCAGGTGTGGTGTTCATGCCTCTAGTCCCAGCTACTCAGCAGGCTAAGGTAGGAGGATCTCTTGAGCCTGGAGTTTGAGACTGCAGTGAGCCATGATCACACCACTGCACTCCAGCCTGGGCAACAGAGCGAGATCCCGTCTTACGAATTTAAAAAAGACAAAAACAAAACCACAATCGCTATAGTCCTCAGGATCAGGTCCCTGTTAAACACTCTCCAGCCATGTGATTAGTTACAAGTTCAAGTGTGATGGGCGAGGTCCGCGGAGTCACACCACATGAACTCCTCCACAATCAGGCTGTATGGCTTTATTTTGCCTCATTTATAGCTGTGCTTACAGCATCACTTAGAGGTGAGTTCTCTTTGACAGATGAGGAAACTGAGGCATGAGAGGCAAAGTGACCTCCTAATAAATGGTAGGGCTGGGATGCAGACCCAGGCTAACCCCTTCTGTGGAATAGCTGAGTTAGGAAGTGCAGGATGGGCTCCTAAAAATAAAACATTACAAATAGTGACTTTATGATCCACCAATTCCATTTCTGGGAATATACTCCAAAGAATTGAAACAGTGACTCAAACAGGTACTTGTACACCCATGTTCAGAGCAACATTATTCATAACAGCCAAAAGGTGAAAGCCATTCAAGGGTCCATTGACAGATGAGTGGATCAATTGTGCTATATGCATACAGTGGAGTATTACTTGCCCTGAAAAAGGAATGAAATTCTGACATAGGCTACGACGTGGACAAACCAGGAGGGCACTGCGCCAAGTGAAAGGATCCAGACACAAAAGGAAGAATAATGTCTGATGTCACTTACATGAGGTTCCTTATCAAATTCATAGAGGCAGAAAGTAGAATGAAGCTTTCCAGGAGCTGAAGGAGGGGAGAGTGGGAAGTTATTGTTCAATGGATAGAAAGTTTCAGTTTTGCAAGATGAAAAGAGTTCTGGAGATGGATGGTGATAATAGTTGCACAACAGTGTAAGTATATTTATTATACTAAACTGTAAACTTAAAAATGCTTAAAATAGGCCAGATGTGTCTCATGCCTGTAATCCCAGCACTTTGGGAGGCCAAGGTGGGCTGATCACCTGCAGTCAAGAGTTTGAGACCAGCCTGGCCGACATGGCAAAACCCCATCTCTACTAAAAATACAAAAAAATTAGCCGGGCGTGGTGGTGGGCACCTGTAGTCTCAGCTCCTCAGGAGGCTGAGGCAGGAGAATCGCTTGAACCCGGGAGGTGGAGGTTGCAGTGAGCCGAGATTGTGCCACAGCACTCCAGCCTGGGTGACAGTGAGATTCCATCTCGAACCAAAAAAGGCTAAAATAGTAAATTATATGTTATCCATGTAGAGCATCCTTAATTCAAAAATCCAAAATCTGAAGTACTCCGAAATCCAGAACATTTTGGGCACATAATGCTACAAGCGGAAAATTCTATACATAAATGCTTAATGCAACTTTGATTAATGCACACAATTATTTAAAATATTGTATAAAATTACTTTCAGGCTATGTGTATAAAGTGTATATGAAACAGAAATGGATTTTGTGTTTAGGCTTGGGTCCCTTCCCCAAAATATCTCATTACATATACACAGATACTTCAAAATCTGAAAAAATTCAAAATTGGAAACACTTCTGGTTCCAGGCATTTCACATAAGGGATACTCAGCATGTATTATCTTGGACTACAACTTTTTTTTTTTTTTAAAGAGAAGTGCAGGATGTTCAGAGGGGCTGTGACAGGGAACTCAAAGAAGGGATGGGGGCCAGGCACAGTAGCTCACACCTATAACACCAGCACTTTGGGAGGCTAAGGGAGGATTGCTTGAGCCCAGGAGTTTGAGACCAGCCTGGACAGCATAGCAAGGCACTGTCTCTACCAAACATTTCAAAATTAGCCCACATGGTGGTGGTCACCTATAGTCCCAGCTACTTGGGAGGCTGAGGTGTGAGGATCCCTTGAGCCCAGAAATTTGAGGTGGCAGTGACCTATGATCATGCCACTGCACTCCAGCCTGGGTTACAAAGCAAGACTCAATCTCTGAAAAAGAAAAAGAAAAAAAAGTCATTAAAAATATTTTTTAAATGAAGGGATGGGGAAGAGAGTCAGGGAGGGCTTCCCAAGGAAGGGTCATTTCTCCTGAGACCTGACAGGTGCTGGCTTGGCCACCTTCATCCTTGGACCTATGTTCTTTCAGCTCCCCTCTGTGGACCCCATGACCCCCAGTTCACATCCCCTCCACCCCTCTCTTCTCATTAAGCTGGGTGGGAGGGGACCTGGTGGCCCCGCATGAGCAGCAGCTGCGGTGCAGAGCAGTCTGGGCCGTTGACTGATTCCTCCCAGCAGGGCTTGGTGCTGCTGAGCAAGGGTCCACAGACCACCCAAAAGCCTCAAGGAAAAGTGGGGGTGCCTAGCCTCCATCCAGTTTGCTGGATGAGAGGAGACAGCCATGGGCAACCTCTCAGGCCTGAGTCTTCAACTTTGCCCCCTCATCCCCACCACCGGGACCCTGTATGTGGATGAAGCTGTCTGGCTAAATCTGTCAGTCAGAAATCATTCATTGAGGCCTCTCCCCCAAACTTAGCTCTGTACCAGGTCCAGGGGCAAGGCTGGCATCCTACAAGAGATAAGAGCATGACCTTGGCTCATAGGGAACGAACTGACAGGTATCAAGAGAACCAACCTGGGCTAGGCGCTGTGGCTCACGCCTGTAATCCCAGCACTATGGGAGGCTGAGACAGTTAGATCACCTAAGGTCAGGAGTTCGAGACCAACCCAGCCAACACGGTGAAACCCTGTCTCTATCAAAAATACAAAAAATTTAGCCAGGCGTGGTGGCAGGTGCCTATAATCCCAGCTACTCAGGAGGCTGAGGCAGAAGAATTGCTTGAACCTGGGAGGCAGATGTTGCAGTGAGCCAAGATTGCACCATTGCACTCCAGCCTAGGTGACAAGAGTGAAACTCTGTCTCAAAAAAAAAAAAAAAAAAAAAAGAAAGAAAAGAAAACCAACCTGACTCTCAAGGGAGTACAGTTCTCTATGTGGCAATGCTAACTCCTGGATCGGGTTAGAATTCCAGATGATTCAGAAATTTCCAGAAATATCCAGAAATTTCATCTCCCTCATTTGGGTTTTTCCAAAATAGGGGTTTTGGAGTCTGGCACACCCAAGTGGTGGTTTCCATTCTCGCACCAACTGCTAACATGGCACCTGCCTCCTGAGACCTTGGGACAATTAAATAATGAGATCACATTTGACTGGTGCTTAGGCCATAATGAGTGTTTGTTTATTTCTGATTTATTTATTTTTAGAGACAGGGTCTCACTCTGTCACCCAGGCCAGAGTGCAGTGACACCATCGTAGCTCACTGCAGCCTCGAACTCCTGGACTCAAGCAGTCCTTCTGCCTCAGCCTCCAGGGTAGCTGGAATTACAGACGCAAGCCACCATGAGAAGTATTTGACGCAAGCATGATAAGTATTTGACATGCATCTGATAGCGTTACTAGTCTTTGAGATTCTACAGGACCAAGGAAAGAAATTGACTTGCCCAGGCCCCCGTGGCTGGTTCACAGCAGAAGCAGGAATTTGAATCCACCTCGTTGCTCTTTATCCAGTATGCTTGTCGCCACACAGCACCGCCTTTTCTAAACCCATCGAGAGCAGGGGATTCTTTCTGGGCACCAGACAGCTCCCAAGTTTAATCACCAGAAAACCTCTTTTAAAATTTCCCACTAGGATAAAGGCATCTCCCAC
Organism: Homo sapiens; assembly: GCF_000001405.40. NCBI lineage: Eukaryota > Metazoa > Chordata > Mammalia > Primates > Hominidae > Homo > Homo sapiens. The sequence continues at coordinate 207,552 of NW_019805500.1, read as the reverse complement.
CCAGATCTAACAAAGAACCTTGAGCGTGCAGGTTTTCTCCCCCAGTAAGACGAATCCCGCTCCTCTGCAACGCGCCTGCTGCCGCTGTGAAACTTTTCCTCATCTGTGATCATGAATCACCCTGGAACCCAGCGGGGTCAGAGATGGACCTCTCTTCCCACTTTGTAAATGAAGAACTGACAATCAGAGAGGGGCGGTGTCTTTCCTAAATCCACACAGTGCAAGGTTGCATTCTACACCCCAGCTCTGAATCCCAGTCACACCTTCCCAGGCAGCATAGAAGCTGGGCTCCAGCTGGGAGCTTCCTAACCCAAGCCTCATTTGCATACAACCTTGTTTCCATGTCTCTGTGTTCCCAAGACCCAACTAACCCTCTTAGTTGGAAGTAAGTCAGAAAGTGCCCCTTGCAGCAGCCGGAAGCAGCCCTTTCAGAGTATAAATAGAATCGAGGGCTTTGTTGGTAGAGTAACTATTCCAGTCAAGCAGCTCCTTCACATTTGTTATTAATTGTGGTCTGGGCATACGCTGCAGAGGGAAATTCCGGTTGTAGATGTTTATTTACAAGCAGCAGGCTCTAGAGTACACACAGCCCTGGGAGTCAGTGCAGCTTTGAGGTAGAACTCTGGAGCTGGGCCTGTTGGTTAAATCCTGATCATCGTGGATGAGCAGCCACATAGAAATGATGGCTATGACAGTATAATTTATTGAGGATTTGCTAGATGCCAGGCACTGTGCTCTCTCTTCTGGATGTGAATGTCCATGTGGGGTGGATTCTGTGATTATACATACCCATTTTACAGATCAGAATACTAAGGCTTGGAGAGATTGCATAAAAGGTCCAAGGTCATTCACATCTGCCTGACCACAGGTCATGTTCTAAACCCCTGCACCTTGCTTTCTCCTCCCAAATCATTATTGCAGGACACTGCTAACATGATCTTTGCCAGCACCACAACAGTGGAACAGCATGTTGACCCTTGCAAAGCACCTTCATCTCTGCTATGTCTTTGGAGCCCAAGGATTACATAGTCCTCGTTTGACCCACAATGCTGCTAAGAAATAGGGAATTTGAGTAACAGAACTAACACAGCACAGCTATCTACTGGGGGAGCTCTCCGGGACCCCCCATCATCCTCAGCCTTCACACCTGCACTGCAAAAATATACTTGATATTCTCTCTCGATAAACCTGGCTTGTTAACATTCATCTGAAGTCAGCTTCTCCTGCTGCCTCTAATCACTCTGATTTTTCCACTTATTTTCTGTTTTGTGCCATGGGAATCTGATTACATTGTTAAATTCTTTTTTTTTTTTTTTTTTTTTTTTGGAGCTGGGCACTGTTTGGGTTTTGGTCTTTCAAAGAGTTCCGTGTTCATAAAGACCCACATAGCTCTGACCACATGTCATTGTTATATCTGTCCTGCAGCTGAAAGCTGACACATTTCCTCTAGGGACGGATTTTCCTCTTTTTGAAATGAGGACAGTTTGATTGAGCATGGTGACCATGACAGGGCTCTGGGATCACAGACTCACTCCATTCTCAGCTCAGCTACTTTATAACTGGGACCTCTCCAAGCCTCAGCTTCCTTGTGCCTACAATAGAAAGATAATAGCTCTGTTTTCATAGCAGTTTTGATAGAAATGAATAAAATCATGCACAGAAATTGCTTAACACATAGTAGGCACTCAGTAAATGGTTGATCTTTCTCCTGACTCGCTGTCTTCCCCCTCTGCCCCCCATCCCCATCCGCATCTCTATTTCTCCTTCTCTGCATGTCTCCTTTCTTTAGATATTTTTGTTCCTTCCCACCCACCCCTTCCCCAGAATAGCTGTACTCAGAAGAGCTCTGGGTTTTTTGTTCCCCATTCTCTTTGCAGCTCCCCAGACTAACTGTCTGACCCAAAGATGACTTTATATTTAAGCCAAGGGAGCTCTCTTGCTGGAGTGATTTGTCTTTGATTTCACAGGACTCTGCCCTTTCTCCAAAAGAAAAGCATCCATGTCTGTGTCTGTCTGTAAATCTGTTCTGCCTTTTAAAACTCTAAAGAGAAGTTGTAAAAGACCTCAGCATCAACATCCAAGCCCTTTTTAAAGACCAGCATAGAGTCCTTACACCTATCCTCTATATCGCAAATCTCCACTTCTGCAGAGAGCAAGTGGAAATATCAGGGCTGGCTTTGGACTCGGCAACACTCAGCTTCCCCTCCCACCTCTGTCCTCACTCACTGTGTGACCTGGGAAATGTGCTGACCTCTCTGAGCCTCAGAGGATGATAACGCATTCTTCCCAGGGTCAAATAACAATGGATGCATAGGAGGCACTTAAGAAACACCAGCTCCTCTGGATCAGAGCAGCCACTCTTCTTCAGAACACATTCATTAATTTGCTCATTCAAAAACTATGGCAAAAGATGTTCATGGCTACAGGGAAAAGCAAGGGTTAATCTCAAAGGCCCCATACACCTTAAGTGGATGGATGGTGTTTGGGATGATAAGCTCTTGGAGGCTTTGCTGGATGCATAGTTGGAGGGTTTGCTGTATGCTTGGATGGATGAATGGTTAGATATGGATGAGTGGACAGATGAGTAGTTAGATTTGGATGGATGAATAAATGGATGTATGGATGAATGGGTGGAGCAATGGATGAATGGTTGGACTTGGATGGATGAATAAATGCATGAACGAATGGGTGGATGGGTGGAGGGATGGATGAGTGGGTGGATGGATGGACAGATAAGTGGTTGGATTTAGATGGATGAATAAATGGATGAATGGGTGGATGGGTGGAGGGATGGATGAATGGGTGGGTAGATGGATGGACAGATTAGTGGTTGGATTTGGATGGACAAATAAATGGATAAATGGGTGGAATGGTGGATGGATGAATGGATGAGTGGTTGGATTTCGATCGATGAATAAATTAATGGGTGGATGGGTGGAGGAATAGATGGATGGATGAAAAGATACAGCCTTATTAATCACCTAGAATCAGCATCTCATCTAATACAGAAATACTGGAATACCTATGTTAGTCCTTAAATGCATGCCTACCTGCCTGCAATAACTAACTTACAAAGTATTTGGTTAGCAACAAGCAACTAAAAGCAATTGTTATAAACTTTTCCTTCCAAACTCTAGGTATGATCATATGGTGTGTATTAGTGGTTCAGGGCATGATCTTTGGAATCAGACCTGTGTTTGAATCTCAGCTTAACTAATTAAAGCAGTGTGACCTTGAGCCAATCCCTTGGCCTCTTCTAAGCTGTGGTTTCCTCATTTGGAAAGCGGGGATAATAGCATTACTTTGTAGGATCATTACGAGGATTAAATTATCTAATGAACGTCAAGGGCTGGTCAATGCTCAATAAAAGGTATTGTTATTTTACTGATCCCAAATGTGCCTTCCTGTAACTTTTGTTTCACCGAGAACCAGATGTGTGTCAGATACTGTTCAAGTGTTGCAGATTCTGTGGTAAACAAGGCCAAAATAGCCCCTCATCTCTTGGAGCTAATGTTCTAGTGGTGTGTTCAGATAATAAGCAAGTAAACAGATAAACAATTGCAGACAGTGTTACATGCTATGAAGAAAGTTGAAATCCGGTGAGGTGAAAGAGAGTAAAAGAGGTGCGGGTGAGGTGAAAGAGAGTAAAAGAGGTGGTGGTGAGTCCCCTTTTTGGACTGTGAACTAATGACAAGAAGATGCAGCCACGCAGAGATCTGGGGAGAGGGCGTTCCAGATCACAAGAAGCCAGGGAGAAGGTCCTAAGGCAGAAATGAGCTTGTTTGAGGAAGAGAAAGAAGGCCAGAGGACAAGATGGAATGTGAGACCCACCAATCGAGGGCAGAGAGATCTGAGTAGTTAGATCACACCAGCCATAGAGGCTGTGTAGTGTGATTTGGATATTATCTACGTCAATCTTGTCTTGTCTCCTGGAACTACGTAGAAAGAGCCTCGTTCATTCAGCAACCATTCAGCCTTCTGATGACAGCTTAGACTCCCGATGTCCTAATCCCCCAGCCCCACAGTCTCCATCTCAGTTCTCCCGGTTTAGATGCTGGGACACTTGCAGCTACTACCCTGACAATGTCCTGGGTCCCATAAACCCAGAACTCTTAAGAAATTGGGTTGGACCCAAGTGAAATCAGGCTGAGGAAAGCTAGGAGATTTCTAGTTGGGATTGTAATAAACTAAACTAGGAAGCTGTGTTTTTATCTGAAGCAAGAGAAAGAAAGAGAGGAGTCTTTGAGGCTGATTTTCGGAATAAAATATGTCTGGGACTATTTATCCAAGTGGATGTGGTATAGGATTTGGATTTAAAAGAACATGATAGATGACAGTGGGTGATCTGTAGCCTTACTGATGCAGGAGCTCAAGGCAGGCCACAAGCACCTGGACCCTCATCCCCCCTTGGCAATGTACTCCACATTAGTTTTCTTCTCAGGCAACCTCTCTCCGTGTGGGAACAGAAAGGCTCATAGAATCTTCTAGTCTCCTGTGTAACAGAAAAAGAACCTCTCACCGGGCACAGTGGCTCACGTCTGTAATCCCAGCACTTTGGGAGGCCAAGGTAGGCAGATCACCTGAGGTCAGGAGTTCCGAGACCAGCCTGGCCAACATGATGAAACCCCATCTCTACTAAAAACACAAAAATTAGCTAGGCATGGTGTTGCGTGCCTGTAATCTCAGCTACTCAGGAGGCTCAGGCAGGAAAATCACTTGAACCTGAGAGGTGGAGGTTGCAATGAGCCAAGATCGCACCACTGCACTGCAGCCTGGGCAACAGAGTAAGACTCCGTCTCAAAAAAAAAAAAAAAAAGATAACCTCTCTTATGTAGTAGTTCTAACAAAAGTCTAGCATTCTGTCTTATTGGTTAATTAACTTGGTTGAGTCATATGTTCATCTCTAAACAATACTGTGGCTATGGAGAATCAGCATTCCCATTGGCCAGGCCTAAGCTGTAGGTCCACCCCTGAAATTGATGATGAAGTTAGGTCTTCCCCACCCATATGGACTAAGAATAGAGGAGAGGAGGATGATGCCACAAAAGGTATTGGATGATGAAGTTTCAGTCATGCAGGACAAGTAAATTTAAAGATCCTGCTGTACAACATTGTATTAATAGGCAGCAGTACTGTAGTGTACACTTAAACATTTATTAAGAGGGGAGATTTCATGCTATCTGTTCTTACCACCGTTAAAACAAACAATATATTGGATGCTATTAGAAGAAGGGAGAATGAATTCTGGACAGGCAAAAACAACACATGTATCTTACGTTCACTAACTCGAAATTAACTGCTTCTTCCTCTGTCATTCAGAGATACATCTCTTATAGCTCTCACCTCCTCCTGCCTTGTTCAGTAGCTTAATATGTGTCCATGTGTCTCTTCCAGCATTTTTAAGCTCCTCAGAATGGAAACTATGTCGTAACAACCCCAGGGTCCCCTAACCCCTTTTGTGCCTGACAGTGTGAGAATCTAAGATGTGCTTTGTGGCATTGAATTATGTTTTAAGGCCCAATTTGATGACTGTGCCCCTAAAATAGTCCCCAAAAGAAGCACCAGAGAAACTTCCCACCCCTGCAAAGGATGGCAGAGCCTCACTTTCTCCTCTCTGTTCTCTTGGATTTTCCCCAGGTAAAGCCAACAAGAACGTGCAGTGGGACGAGGACTCCGTGGAGTACATGCCAGCCAACCCGGTCAGAATCGCCTTTGTCCTGGTGGTCCACGGCCGTGCCTCTCGGCAGTTGCAGCGCATGTTCAAGGCCATCTACCACAAAGACCACTTCTACTACATCCACGTGGACAAGGTGAGAGGCCTCTGTGATCACCCCTTGCTGGGCTTTCTTCGGGGTCTGTCCGTCCCTCCCTGATACCCTCCTTCTGCATTGCTAGTCCAGACTGCCTGCTTTCAGAAAAGGCTTGGAAGCTGACCAGCTGCCTCTCCACAGAGCGTGTGGCCCTAGAGTGCTGTCTCTATGTGTGTGTTGGTTTCAAAGTTTCCAGCTGCGACTTACAATTTTGTCCATAAATGATAAATGCTGTTTTTGGGGGGTTTTTTTTCTTTTTTTTTTGATGGAATGTCGCTCAGTCACCAGGCTGGAGTGCCGTGGCATGATCTCCGCTCACTGCAACCTCTGCCTCCTGGGTTCAAGCAATTTTCCTGCCTCAGCCTCCCAAGTAGCTGGGACTACAGGTGCATGCCACCACACCCGGCTAATTTTTGTATTTTTAGTAGAGACAAGGTTTCACCATGTTGGCCAGGATGGTCTCGATCTCTTGACCTCGTGATCTGCCCGCCTCAGCCTCCCAAAGTGCTGGGATTACAGGTGTGAGCCACCGTGCCCGGCCCCTAAATGCTGTTTCTTACCTCTCCCCTCTACCCAATGCCCTCTGCCTGCCTCTCACATACTTTGTGGGAATAGCTTACCTTTATTAGTCCATTTTCATGCTGCTAATAAAGACATACCTGAGACTGAGTAATTTATAAAGAAAGATGTTTAATGGACTCACAGTTCTAAGCAGCTGGGGAAGCCTCACAATCCTGGTGGAAGGCAAAAAGCAAGTCTTACATGGCGGCAGCAAGAGAGAAAAATGAGAGCCAAGCAAAAGAAGTTTCCCGGTGTAAAACCATCAGATCTCATGAGACTTATTCACTACCACGAGAACAGTATGGGAGAAACCACCCCTGTGATTCAGTTATCTCCCACTGGATCCCTCCCATAACACGTGGGAATTATGGGAGCTACAATTCAAGATTAGATTTGGGTGGGGACACAACCAAACCATATCACTATCCCAGGAGTGCGTACACTTTTTCTATGGAAGGCAAGATAGTACATATTTTAGGTGTTGCAGGGCACATAGTCTCTGTCACAGCTACTCAGCACTGCCCTTGTGCTAAAGCAGCCAAGGAGAACATGTCAACAAATGAGCATGGCTGTGTACCAATAAAACTTTATTAACAAAAACCTGCATCAGCCCTGCTGACTCCCGAGCTACCTTGTCCCTGAGGTTTCTATTGGTGAAACAATTATGCCTTTAGTCAAGAAGGCAAAGGGGGAAGTCTTGTCCAAAAGGTCGGCTTCTAGCAGACCTGTGAGAGGATAATGGAGGAGCAATCAGTAGGAGTGGGGACAGAAAACAAAAATTCTGCCTCCGAAATATACATGGGTTTAGATGGAGCCATATTTCCCAGCTTGTCTTCCTCAGACCCCATGCAGCTGTCATGTATATGAATGCAAAGTTGGCCAGGTGCAGTGGCTCATGCCTGTAATCCCAGCACTTTGGGAGACCAAGGTGGGCGGATCACCTGAGGTCAGGAGTTCCAGACCAGCCTGTCCAACATGGTGAAGCCCCATCTCTACTAAAATACAAGACTTAGCTGGGCGTGGTGGCGCATACTTGTAATCCCAGCTACTTGGGAAGCTGAGGCAGGAGAATTGCTTGAACTTGGGTGGTGGAGGTTGCAGTGAGCTGAGATGGCACCACTTTGTTCCAGCCCGGGTGACGGAGCGAGACTCTGTCTAAGTAAATAAATAAAGCAAGACTCCATCTCAAAATAAAATAAAATAAGATAAAATTTTAAAAATGTGAAGTCCCAGGCACCACCAGCCCAAGCCTAGTGAACCATTAGCTCAGAAGTGCGGCCAGTGAATCTGCATTTCAAATAGCTAATTTGAAATGTAAAAAATAATCCAAGTTTGAATTGCAGTACAGAAAGACACTCCAGTCCAGGATCATTTACTTGGCAAAGGCCACTGTGCTCAGAAGTGCCCAACCAGGAGGGAAGACACAGAGAGGGGACAGGGGTGAGGGGCATGCCTGGGTATTTTCTAGGCCACTGACTGTCATCACCCTTTCTCTCCTGGGAAAAGCGCTCTAATTACCTGCATCGGCAAGTGCTCCAGGTCTCCAGGCAGTACAGCAATGTCCGCGTCACCCCCTGGAGAATGGCCACCATCTGGGGAGGAGCCAGCCTCCTGTCCACCTACCTGCAGAGCATGCGGGACCTCCTGGAGATGACCGACTGGCCCTGGGACTTCTTCATCAACCTGAGTGCGGCCGACTACCCCATCAGGTAAGGCAGCCAAGGGCCCCAAGCCAGTCTTGTCTGACGTCCTGCTCTGGCTGGTCATGGCTGGGAACTCACGAGGCAGAAGGAGACTGATGCATAGTCTCCACAGGATCGCTCAGGATAGGATTCTGATTGGACCTGAGAATCATTGATTCATTCACTCATTCATTCATGCATTCAACAGATAGAGACTGAGCACGTGGTTTTCCCAGCTCTATTAGCTGATATGCCAGTGCACTAAACAGACGGAAACTCCAACCCGCGTGGAGCTTTATATTAGGGTTCTCTAGAGGGACAGAACTAACAGGATAGGTGTATATATAAAGAGGAGTTTATTAAGGAGTATTGACTCACACAATCACAAGGCGAGGTCTCACGATAGGCCGTCTGCAAGCTGAGGAGCAAGGAAGCCAGTCTGATTCTCAAAACCTCAAAAGTAGGGAAGCCCACAGTGCAGTCTTCAGTCTGTGGTCGAAGGCCCAAAGATCCCAAAGCTGAAGAACTTGGAGTCTGATGTTCAAAGGCAGGAAGCATCCAGCATGGGAGACTCAGCCAGCTTATTCCTTCCACGTTCTGCCTGCTTTTATTCTGGCCACGCTGGCAGCTGATTAGATTATGCCCACCCAGACTGAGAGTGGGTCTGCCTTTCCCAGTCCACTGACTCAAATGTTAATCTCCTTTGGCAACACCCTCACAGACATGGCCAGAAACAGTACTTTGCATCCTTCAGTCCAATCAAGTTGACACTCAATAGTAACCATCACAAGCTTCCATTCAAGTAGGGAGACAAACAACAAAATAAGTTAAATGATATCTTAGAAAAATAAAGTAAGGGGCAAAAGTAGGGGACAGTTGTAATTTTACCAACGGTGGCCTGGAAGGTTTTCACGGATAAGAACAGAAGAAGATGAAAAAGAGAGTCACGCCTACAGAGAAAGTGGTCCAGGCAGGGGCAAAGGCAGGGGCTGAGCCCAGAGGTGGGTCCATGCCTGGCCTGTGCGAGGAACAGCAGGGTTCAGTGGAGCTGTAACAGAGTAAGTGAGGGGTAGCATAACAAGAGAGATAAAGTCAGAGAGTAATTTGAGGCCAGATCGTGGTGATCCTAGAATTTGGCTGTTAGTCCAAGCAAGAGGGAAGCCACTGGCATGATACTTTGAATGATATTCTGAACGGTATATATATCTATATATATATATATATTTTGGAGACAGAGTCTCGCTCTGTCACCCAGGCTGGAGTGCAGTGGTGTGATCTTAGCTCGCTGCAGCCTCCACCCACCAGGTTCAAGTGATTCTCCTACCTCAACCTCTGAAGTAGCATAGAGATGGTGTTTCACCATGTTGGTCTCAAACTCCTGGCCCCAGGTGATCCGCCTGCCTTGGCCTCCCAAAGTGCTGGGATTATAGGTGTGAGCCATCGTGCCAGGCTGTTATTTTCTCTTGAGAGGGCAGCTTTTTCCTTTGACTGTGTTTTCCATCTGGATTTGCTGACAAGGGTGAAAAGGAAAGTGGATGGGGGTGAAGAGGGGGATCTTCCTCCCTCTGATGGCATGAGGCCATAGGGTTCAGCATTCCCAGGAGACCTAGATGAAGGGGTCCTAAAAAAATAAAACTTTTATTAAGGCAACTTTCAAACATGCACAAGAGTACCAAGAGAATAGTGTAATGAACTCCCACGTGGATGTCACCCAGGTTAATTCATGGCCATTGTTCTTGTATCTGGACTTTCATCCTCTTCCCCCAACAGTGGGTTATTTTGAAAGAAATATAAGATATCACAGAATTGTATCTATAAATATTTCAGTATATATCTAGAAAAGATAAGATCTCTTTTTTAAGACAGCATCACAATGATGCTTATACCTAAAATATTAGCAGGCATGTTTTAATGGCATCAAATATCTAGGTCACATATTCCCAAGAGTTTGAGTTTTGAATCAGAACCCAAACAAGGTACAAGCATGGAAGGAAGACCTACCTCTCTTTAAAGCTAGAAGTGGCTGCTTTCTTCTTCACAGCTTGGTCACTGGGGGTCTTCTTCATTCCTAGGCTTGGGGGCATCCCACCATCTGCTGGGAGACCCTAGACTGCAGAAGGTACTGGGGAGGCACAATCTCTGGTCAGTTTGAATGGGGTACACCTGACATCCTTGAACCTGAGAAAAATGACAGGCACTAGAAAGACAACTGTTTTCTTTTGTCCATAAGACAGAGGGATAAACGGGAATGGTTATAGAACATTGCTGGTAGAATTTTACTTACCACAATTTTGTTCATTTGTTCAACAAACATTTACTGAGCAACTACCGTGCTACATTCGAAGTAGTGCATTTTGTGAACAAAAGTGATGCAGCTTCCTGTACTTCTCCTCTGCTCATGGAATGTGTATCCTAGCTGAGAAGATGGAGTTAGATGATCATGCCAAAGATACATCATGCAAGGTGTGAACAAGCCATAAAGCAAGGAAGATGTGGGCCGGGTGCAGTGGCTCACACCTGTAATCCCAGCACTTTGAGAGGCCAAGGCAGGTGGATCACAAGGTCAGGAGTTCAAGACCAGCCTGGCCAAGATGGTGAAACCCCATCTCTACTAAAAATACAAAAATGAGCCGGGCATGGTGGTGCGTGCCTGTAATCCCCCCTACTTGGGAGGCTGAGGCAGGAGAATCGCTTGAACCCAGGAGGTGGAGGTTGTAGTGAGCCGATATCGCGCCACTGTACTCCAGCCTGGCGACACAGCAAGACTCTATCTCAAAAAAACAAACAAACAAACAAAAAACAACAAAAAAAAAGGAAGATGTGGGTGTGGAGAAAAACTCGAGGGCCATAAGCAGGAGGTCAGAAAGGCCTCTGAATATTCAGCTTTGAACCGAGACCTAGAAGACAAGAAGGGATCCATTGGGAGGGAAATAAGAAAGAGATCCTTCTATACTGGGATTCCTAGCAGTGGCACTGCTGATGTTTGGGGATGGATAATTCTTTACTGTGGGTGCCATCCTGTGCATTGCAGGATGCGTAGCATCATCTCTGGCCTCTACCCACTAGATGCCAGGAACACACCCTGCCCACTTTTGCCAACCACAGATGTCTCCAGACATTGACTCGTGACCTCTGGGAGCTAAAATTGTCTCCACTTGAGAATCACCGTTTCTTATAGAGGGAACAGCCTGGGCACAATGTAGCACAGAAACAAACTTGTTGCGTTTGAGAAATTTAAACAATGGATAGAGTATAATAAAAGAATGAGGAGAAGTGAGTTTAGACAAGTACATGGCAAGGAGGGGTTAGAACATTCCCTCTCCATCTTCCATGAAGGGACCGAGTTTGGAAATGTCCCAAAATGCTGAGCATAGCAGCTAGTGTGGCAGACACTTGTTTCAACCCTTACAACAAACCTGTTTTACAGAGGGGCAAACTGAGGCCCAATGTCATGTGATGAATGCATGGCAGAGTGGGGATTAGAACCAGTTTCGTCTGGTTGCAAAGTTGGTATTCCTTCTGGCTTTTAGTCGGCCTCTTAGGGAAATCAGCAGAACTGGACTGGCAGGATGGCCCCAGGCCACCTTGAAAGCACAGAAGGAAACAGTCCCACCCCATGAGCTTGTGGCGGGGTGGAGTAGTGGCTGGACTGCCTGCAGCAGGGATGTCCAGGATGGTCCTGGGAGGACCCCCATTGTCTGTTCCTCAGTCTTAGGGGCTGTGCTCAAAGTTCCCACATTCTTCCTTCTCTGGATTCCCAGTGGAGGCCTCAGAGGTCATGCCAGCCTAGGTTGGGGGCCCGCATTAAGCCCAAGACCACTTGAGGCCAGGTAGGCATGCGCATTGCTGCCCCCTAGAGGCCATTGTTGGCTTGCTTTGCGTGGCCACCTCCCCTAAAGAGTCCAGCTCGGCTCAGCACCCGGGAGGGTGAGTGCCTGCACTCTCGTCAAACTGCTTACGGCTCGAATCTGAGTTCTGCCACTTAGCTAGCAGCGTGACCGCGGGCAAGTAAATCCAATTTCTGTGAAATCAGGATACAATAATAGAACCTAGCAGCCTGCCGGACACTTGGAAGGTGCTCCATGAATGTCAGCCATTTATACGTAAGGTACATCCAAGGTCTCATCTTGTATCTCTGAGAGGCCCAGAAATCCTTTCTCAGGCCATGCGTGCAACCTATTTTGGGGTTCAGAAAAGAGAGTTGTCTTATTTGTGGCTTTTTTGCTTTAGTGCCCCAGGTCACTCTGTGTCTCTTGGCCTTTCTCATCATCTTCCTCTACTTCACTGATCTCATTTCCATGGTGCCTCCCACGAATTCCTTTGCCCACTCTTCTTTGCCAGCCTCATAGCCAGAGGCACTTTATGCATCAAGCACTGCTGGTTCCTCTTGCTGTTGTTTTCATGAAGTTGCCCTACACAAAAACATATGAATTTTGCAGATGAATGGTTTCATCCTGGGCAATGCTGATAGGTTTTCAGTTTCCATCTGCCGCCCCATCTGTAGCTTCCAAAACCACTACTTCTCCCATCCCAGAAAGAATGAGCAAACTTAGGAGTCTTCTCAAAGGGGCGGTAGTGCCCAAGTCAGGCACTTCTAAGAGGCACTGAAAACTTGGGGGATACTTAAGGGTCCAGCCAGCCCGACGTAGCCACTGTGAGCTGCTCTGTGATTTGACGTCACCTCCCTGTGTCCCCTGCACAACCCTCACTGTGGGGGGTGGGGGGGTGTGGGCAGATTCTTCCTCTCTTAGATATTAAAGATGCACTGGTGTTTACTGGTCACTAGCCTTGTTTAGGCCCTGGACGCAGACATCCTGGTTTCAGATTCTGCCCCACCACCAACTGGGCAAGTTGCTTCAACTTTCTGCATCTCAAATTCTCTACCTTAAAATAAACACAATATTAGTGCCTATTTCGGAGGGTTCTTAGGAAGTTTCAATGAAATCTTGCATGATAAGGACCTACCACAGCGTCTAATGACAGAAAGTGGTTGATAAATGCCCAAATTACTCCATGGCTATAAGTAACTGTGGGACTTGAGTTACTTTCCCTTTTCTCTTTGATAGAGTTAAAAGAGTAGCAAAGTATTTCTTGAACTCACATCTCTGTCAAAAGAGGGAAAAGTGGGCCAAGCACGGTGGCACACAACTGTAATCCCAGGACTTTGGGAGGCCAAGGCAGGTGGATCACTTGAGGTTAGGGGTTCGAGACCAGCCTGGCCAACATGATGAAACCCCGACTCAACTAAAAATACAAAAATTAGCCAGGCATGGTTGTGCATACCTGTAACCCCAGCTACTCATGAGGCTGAGGCATGAGACTCACTTGAACTCGGGAGGCAGAGGCTGCAATGAGCCGAGATCGTACCACCGCGCTCCAGCCTGGGTGACAGACTGAGACGCTGTCTAAAAAAAAAAAAAAAAAAAAAAAGGGTGGGAAAAGCAAAGATAGACGTGAGACTGTTTCAAGAAAAACAGAATAGATCCAATTCACTTGTGGACATGAAGAATATTCCTGAACTTGGCATACGCAAGCTGAGAGTGTTTAGAGACTCTAGGTGCTCCTGCTCTGCTGTTGACATGACATCCTGGTCCACGTAGGCTCCAGCTGGAGCTGGTTGTGTACCCAGCACGTGGATGAAAGTGGAAAATGGATACTTTCAAACTCTGAGGCCCTGCTAGATCTTGAATCCTCGAAAGGTATGATGGTTTTATTCGTATGTTCTATTTACCGAGGCAAGGAATTATACCTGGCCTACTTTAGATTGGCTGCAGGAAGAGATGAAGCCAATAGCACTTTGCCCTGTTTCTTGGCTTGGACTTGTAGTAAGAGACCTCGGCTGGGTGTGGTGGCTCATGCCTGTAATGCCACCAGCACTTTGGGAGGCCAAGATGGGTGGATCACCTGAGGTCAGGAGTCTGAGACCAGCCTGGCCGATATGGTAAAACCCCATCTCTACTAAAAATACAAAAAGTAGCTGGGTGTGGTGGCGGGCGCCTGTAATCCCAGCTACTTGGGAGGCTGAGACAGGAGAATCACTTGAACCCAGGAGGCAGAGGTGGTAGAGAGCTGAGATCATGACATTGCACTCCAGCCCGGGCAGCAGGAGTGAAACTCCATCTAAAAAAAAAAAAAAAAAAAAAAAAGAGAGAGAGAGAGACCTCACGCCTCACACTGTGTCTTTTCCTAAGTCCGGTGTCTTGGGGCAAATCAGATGTAAAGAGAGGAGGGTTGAGTGTGTCCTTGGCCCCTCCCGGGGTTCACATTCAGTCTGTGGTGTGTACACACGTTTGCACATGTGGGGCAGTGTATGTATACAGAAACCAGGCAGGGGAAACCATGTTGACATTTTCCTGCTACTTCTGCCTCTTGGGTATCCACATCAACAAAGTCCAAACTATCAGGGCCCACCACATGGACATGTAAGTTACATTAACTGCAGATCCAAATGTCTGTCTTGAGATACTACCAGAGCCGCAGGCTGAGAACATGAGAGAGCTGCTCCATGGCGCCTCAGTAGGAAACACCAGCTGGTAAAGACAGGAACAGGTGGCCAGGGCTTCTCTACAGTCTCCCGAAGACCAGAGTTTATATGGGACCAATTGAGCAAGACTAACCCCCAGACTAACAGAGCAGACACTTACTGCACACCTACTGTGTGCTGGGCCCTCTTCAGGGCCCTTTACCACATATTTCTTCTTAATCCCATCCCCCAAAACACAACTGCTACTTGGTAAGTAAGTTTAGAGAAATTAGTATTAACACAGAGCAGAGGAAGCTTTGCAGGGAAGTCAAGCCCTTGATAATGTTCAGCACAGATCCCAGTCACTCTGGGATTTGAAATGAAGATGAGCAGTATGGAAGTCCAAGCATCCATGTACAGTCACTGCATCTGCGTACAGATCACATCCCTTTAGTCTGCTAAAGTGGAACCCGAATAGGTCAAAGAATTCCTGTAGTTAAGACCGCACAGCAACCACAGCAAATGTATATGTAGCACTTCGTACATTCCTAGCATTATTCTAAGTGCTTTACAATTCAGGGATGTCTGAGGGAGAGAATACAGTTATGGCTCCTCAGTTTCTTTTCTTGGTTGGGCCAGTAAAGCCCCTTCCTCATCCCTCTTTTCTGCTTATCACTAGAGACAGAAACTAAAAACCATGGCTTCAGGCTGCTAAAAGCCTAAAACAAAAAAACAAAACAGAACAACCAAATAAGGCAGGGTTGGACAAGCTTGTTTACATCGTTTTGACAACAACTCTGAAGTATGCACTCTTGATATCCCCATTTTTCAGATGAATAAACTGAGGCACAGAGATGTTAAGAAACTTGACCCCAAGGCTACAGCCAGTAAACTGTAGAATCATGATCCTTTTTTTTTGAAACTGAGGTGAAATTTATATAACATAAAATTAACCATCCCATTACTGGGTGTATACCTAAAGGATTATAAATCATGCTGCTTTAAAGACACATGCACATGTATATTTATTGTGGCACTGTTCACAAGAGCAAAGACTTGGAACCAATCCAAATGTCCATCAATGATAGACTGGATTAAGAAAATGTGGCACATATACACCATGGAATACTATGCAGCCATAAAAAAGGATGAGTTCATGTCCTTTGTAGGGACATGGATGAAGGTGGAAACCATCATCCTTGGCAAACTATCGCAAGGACAAAAAACCGAACACCACATGTTCTCACTCATAGGTGGGAACTGAACAATGAGAACACTTGGACACAGGGTGGGGAACATCACACACCGGGGACTGTTGTGGGGTGGGGGGAGGGGGGAGGGATAGCATTAGGAGATATACCTAATGTAATTGACAAGTTAATGGATGCAGCACACCAACATGGCACATGTATACATATGTAACAAACCTGCATGTTGTGCACATGTACCTGAAAACTTAAAGTATAATAATAAAAAGAAACTGAGGTGAAATTTATATAACATAAAATTAACCACTTTGAATTGTTGAATGGCATTCAGTACATTCACAGTGTCAGGCAACCGTACGCTCTCTAATCCTAAACATTTTCATCATCCCAAAAGAAAACCCTGTACCCATTAAGCAGTCACTTCCCAGAAACCTCTCCTCAGTCTCTGGCAACCACTAATCTCCTTTCTGTATCTATGGACTTGATTTGCCTATTCTTGACATTTTTATTTATTTATTTTGAGATGGAGCCTCCCCTCTTGTTGCCCAGGCTGGAGTGCAATGGCACGATCTTGGCTCACTGCAACCTCTGCCTCCCAAGTTCAAGAGATTCTCCTGGCTCTGCCTCCCAGGTAGCTGTAATTACAGGCATGCACCACCACACCTGGCTAATTTTGTATTTTTAGTAGAGATGGGGTTTCACCATGTTGGTCAGTCTGGTCTCGAACTCCTGACCTCATGTGATCTACCCACCTCAGCCTCCCAAAGTGCTGAGATTACAGGTGTAAGCCACTATGCCCAGCCTATTCTGGACATTTTATATGAATGCAGTTACATAGTATATGACATTTGGTGACCTGCTTATTTCACTTAGCTTAATATCGTTGAGGTTCATCTGCATCGTAGCATGTGGCAGCACTTCATTCCTTTTTATGGCTGATATTCTATCATGTTGATATACTTGTACCACAATCTGTTTATCCAATTATCAGTCAATATACTCAGCATTCTGAAGCTTCCCAAAGCCCCTGTCTCCTGGCCATGTTGTATCTGCACTGTATGCCCTGAATTGAGGACCTCATCTGGTTTAAGAAGATGCAGCTCCATCATATGGGACTCTGCCCAGCAGTGGTGCTGGAGGACTCTTGTTAAGCAAGCCCTGGTGACTGTTTGGCCATGGGGGGTTGTAGATCTGAGCATATTGGCCTGATGGCCTTTCCCATTCACACCGGATCTTCTCTACCCATGCTAGCCCCTGGACCTCAGCTGAACGGGAAAGAAACTTCAGTGATTCTCATTGTCCGGGGAAGATTCAGGTTGAAGATGGAAATGTGGAGGAGTAGAGTGTGAGGTCCAAGCTTCCCTTTTTCCCTTCTTCCTTCTCTCAACACCAAGCCCCTTCTGATGACAATCTTGGGGTGCTTTGAGGAGGAAAGTGCTTAGGTCAGCCCAGTGAAGATACTTCTCTACTCCCACAGATGAGTTCAGGAGACAGGGCTCCTTCTGACTTTACCCATTCACCCAAAAAAATATTTATTGAGCACCTACTATGTGTTGGACACTGTGCTAAGCAGCAACTCAAAGGTGAGGAAAAACATATCCAGCCCTGCCCTCATCGTAGTGGTCAAGGGTACAGGCTGGAGCCAGTCCACCTGGGTCCAAATCGCAGCTTCTTTATTTACTAGCTGTGTGAAGTTGCACACAGCAGTCCCTGTGCTTCAGTTACTTCATCTGTAAAATGGGCATAATAATGGCACCACCCCATAGGGTTGCTTTGAGGGCTAAGTGAGTCCATATATGTGAAGTGCTTAGCACACAGTGAGGGTTATCCATGTGATAGCCATGGTTATTAATAGAGGAAGGAGACAGACATTAATCACAGAGATCACAGGAGTGCACATATGACAAAGTCAGGCAAGCATTGTGAAAAAAAGGAATGAAGGATCTATGAGCACTTTGCAAAGGAATCTCACATGGACTGAGGGCCCGGATGGCTTCCCTGAGGAGGCAGCCTGTGAACTGAGATGTAGATGCTGGGTAGGAGTTTAGGAGAAGTGTGAGGAGGTTCCAAGCAGGCATCCCAGGAAGAGGGGGTAGCTTGGGACCCTGGCATATCTGAGGATCTGAAAGAAGGCAACTATGGGTGAAACATAAGAGGCGAGGGTTTGCCTTCTTACAAATGAGGTAGGTCGAGGCAAGCCCATGTGGGCACTTGAGATGTCCTGTTGGGTCACTAAAGCCTCAGTCTGTGAGCGGTGAGGTTTTAGGGGAGAGTGACAATATTTGCCACATTGAGAGATCGTACTGGCTGCCGTGGGAGAATAGTTGGGAGTGGGGCCCAAATGGGAGTGGGGAGGCCAGATCACAAGCAGTTGCTTCTACTGACCCCAGAGCCACATCCACAGAGCCCCCTATTCTCCAAACCTCCAGGCAGAAGCAGGTGTCCTAGAAGGAAGCCATAAGGAGCTTCCTGAACCCAAGCAGCCATGAAGTCTTTTAGTCACTCAGAGCCAGGCAGCCACCTTCTGTTTGGGGACCAGGACCCCACACCTGTGCAAAACAGCCTCGTTCAGGAGACTCAGAGGATTTCAACAGGAGCTGGAGCAGAGAACAGAGAAGCAAGCGTGAGATGCAAGGATCTTAGGAGAGCGGGTCAGAAAAAAGCCAATCATAAGCCAACAGGGGCGCAGCCAGAGGATTAGAGGAAGAATGTGGGTTGAGTGAATGTGAGAAAGAATATGGTGGAGACCCCTCTTTGTCTTTTGTTCTTTTTTTTTAAAGTGATAAAATATGGTGAGAATGATAAAATAAGTGAGAATTGCTTGAACCTGGGAGGCGGAGGTTGCAGTGGACTGAGATCACGCCATTGTACTCCAGCCTGGGCAACAAGACCAAAACTCCATCCCAAAAAGAAAATAAGAAGAAAGAAAAGAAAAGTGATAAAATACACTTAAAATAAAATTGACCTTTTTAATCTTTCTTTTTTTTTTTTTTTTTTTTTTGAGACAGCGTTTGGCTCTGTCACCCAGGCTAGAGTACAGTGGTGCGATCTTGGCTCACTCTAACCTTTGCCTCCCAGGTTCAAGTGATTCTCATCCCTCAGCCTCCCAAGTAGCTAGGATTACAGTTATGCACCACCACATCTGGCTAATTTTTTTTTTTTTTTTTTTTTTTTGAAACTGAGTCTTGCTCTGTCACCCAGGCTGGAGTGCAATGGCGTGATCTCGGCTCATTGCAAGCTCCGCCTCCCTGGTTCAAGGGAATCTCCTGCTTCAGCCTCCCGAGTAGCTGGGATTACAGGCACGTGCCACCATGCCTGGCTAATTTTTTTGTCTTTTTAGTAGAGACAGGGTTTTGCCTTGTTGGCCAGGCTGGTCTCGAACTCCTGGCCTCAAGTGATCTGCCCACCTCGGCCTCCCAAAGTCCTGGGATTACAGGCATGAGCCACCACACCTGGACTGATTCTTCTACATTTTAGAAGAATCCAAAATGTCTTCCTATCCTATATCAGTCACCCTTCTGGTTCCCCCATTTCTCTGAATAGGACCACCCTCCTCCTGAGCACCTGCAGCTGGAAGCCTGTGTGCCCCCTTCCTTGCTGCTCCATCTGCACCTTGCGTATTCTCGTTCTAACCCTGACATCTCTCCGTGTTCATCCCCATCTGTGATGCCCTTCATCCCCACCCAGGTCAGACCCTCTTCACCTTACACCTGCAATATTAGCACAGGTGTGCTCTGACGGGGACTCCAAGGTCTCCCAGGAGAAGACAGGCTGAGCCAGACTCTTAAAACAGGATAGAGCTGCTTCTCAAGGCCATTTCCTGAGCACCCGTCATGCGTCAGGCTATGGGTGTTCCGCAGGGAGCAGGACAGACACCATCCCTGCCACAAGGAGCTTGACATCTCACTATGTGCTTCTCAGCCGGGTCAAATCAAGGTTCTATGTGATTCTCAGAAATTCAGAGTTCAGCAGGCGCAGTGGCTCATGCCTATCCCAGCACTTTGAGAGGCCGAGGTGGGAGGATCACTTGATCCCAGGAGTTCAAGACCAGCTTGGGCAACAAAGCAAGACCCCCATTTCTAAAAAAAAAAAAAAAAAAATTAACCAGGTGTGGTGGTGCACCCCTGTAACGCCAGATACTTGGGAGGCTCAAAATAAAGAAATCGGCTGGGCATGGTGGCTCACGTCTGTAATCCCAGCCCTTTGGGAGGCCAAGGCAGGCAGATCACCTGAGGTGAGGAGTTTGAGACCAGCCTGACCAACATGGTGAAACCCCGTCTTTACTAAAAATACAAAATTAGCTGGGTATGGTGGCACATGCCTGTAATCCCAGATACTCGGGAGGCTGAGGCAGGAGAATCGCTTGAACCCAGGAGGTGGAGGTTGCAGTGAGCCGAGATCGCGCCACTGCACTCCAGCCTGGGCAGCAAGAGTGAAATTCCGTCTTAAAAAATAAAAATAAAAAAGAAATCTAGAGTTCCGTTCCAGATCAACTGAATGTAAATTCCTTGTGGATGCCAAGAATCAATTTCTCTCTCTCTCTCTGTGTATATATATATTTGAGATATTTGAGATAGAGTCTTCACTCTGTCACCCAGGCTGGAGTGTGGTACAATCTCAGCTCATTACAACTTCCACCTCCCAGTTCAAGTGATTCTCCTGCTTCAGCCTCCCAAGTACCTGGGATTACAGGCACTCTCCACCACATCTGGCTGATTTTTGTATTTTTAGTAGAGACAAGGTTTCACCTTGTTGTCTAAGCTGACCTCAAACTCATGACCTCAAGTGATCTGCGCACCTCAGCCTCCCAAAGTGCTAGGATTACAGGTGTGAGCCACTGCACCCAGCCAAGAATCTATATATTTTTAAAGTGTCCAGCACCCTGCAGGTGATTGTACTAGTGAGAATTGAAATCCACTGGTCCAGGGAGAGAGAGAGACATCTTTCACATAGTTAGAAAAATAAATAGAAGCTACATGCTGTGTTGGAAAATGTTAGCCTCAGTACTTCGTGGGAAAGCATACTTGGTGGCCCAACACTCAGATATTTGGGTGTGACCATCTCCCCTGCATTCTGCTTTCTCAGCATCCAAACCACTTTTGTTCTTTGGGACGTTCAGAGACACACACTCTGCTTCCTGAGACCCCAAAGTTCCTGGGTTCGAAACCATCCAATAAAACCTCCACCCAGATAATGTGTGAGTTTGAAAGGGTGTATCTGCTCGGACTGTTGTTCACAAGGAGACTGGAAAAACATGCCAGTAATTATGCCGTTAACAGTTTTGTTTGCCTCTAGTCACAAAATAAACATATCCTCAGCCCTGTTATTTTTCAGGCTGATGGAGCACACACTCCTGCTTTTGCAGAAATGCAGTTTGCTTCCCTCTTGCCAGTTGTCCTGGGTCTCCTGAGCTGTATTTTAGGCTGGTCAGCTCTTTAAGCCTTCTTAAGGCCAGAAGTGACCTAGACCATCGGCTGGACAAACAGAGTGAGCCTAGAGTTCTCGGAGATCTCATGAAAACCAAGGTTCTGCAGAAAGCCAAGAGTGGTCTATGGGCTTAGGACCTTCTGGGAAGGATGTGGTGGAAGACAAGAATTGAAGTGACTGCTTCACCCAAGGGATGCCATCATCTGGCTTAAATAACTTTTAGTTGTATTGTTTGTTTGCTTGCTATTTTGTTTGCTTTCTCTTTCTTTCACAACGGAAAACAAAAAAAATTCAGAGTCCTGGGGAAAAATGTGATAGTTCTCTCTTGAGTTGTGTATCCCTTCTTTGGCTAGCAGAGAATAGAGCACTTGGCCATTCATCCATTCATTAAATAGATGCTCATTGAGATTCTGCTAGATATTAGGCAATGCTCTAGACCAGCACTGTCCAGTGGAACTTTCGGGGGTGATGGAAATGTTCTATAAGCACCATCCTGTATGGTAGCCGTTAGCCACAGGTGGCCATTGAGAGCTTGAAACGTGCCTTGTGGGACTGAGGAACTAAATTTTCAATTTGATATGATTTTAATTTAAAGTTAAATTAAAACTGTGCGCTCATGAACCTTACATCGATGCCATGGGGTACAAACACTTCCACTAGAGAGAATTATACTACTGTTACCAGAAGAAAAGAGAGTCCAGGCTAAATAGTACAGAAATAAATGTGGTCTCTGTCCTCTGCCAATTTGATATTCTCACCAGATCCCAGCTTGACCACACAATGAATTTTGCAATGTATTTTCTTCCGAATCCCTCCCTCTCCAGATCTCACAATTCTCCTTCCTCTTGGCAGCGGCTCTCTATGTGTCTGTGGATGGGACGTTTCCAACCCTGGCATCTTCCTGCCCAGTGCATTGAGCATTTTTGCTTATTGGCAAAAAAAAAAAAAAAAAAAAGCCGTCTTTTATGTGACTTTTTCTCCGGTGGCCAAGAGTATGGACGGTATCCATGCTGGGATGCTCCAAGTGCATCCTGGGAATTTGGATGTGAGCCCGGGGTGGTCTACAATGTGGGTGGTCTTTATTGTAGAGTCTATTATTCTTCCCTTGCCTGTTCCTTACATCTAACTGCAGGTGAAGATTCTTTTCAAGGGCAATCTGGAGGAACCGCATGTATTAAAAGTGGGATAAGGGAGGAGCGTTTCTACCCTTTTAAAAATTGATGAGGGCAAAGATTTGACTGAGTATAGGATCCAAGCGACAGGGTTAAGGTCTGATCATTAGGCACACAGACGGACTCTGTGGATTATTCTTATTATCATTCAAGTATTTTCTCTCCCTTGCTCCCACCCTGAGTCATTGTCCAGCATGGTCAATAGTAGCCACTCAAAGTAGATGCCTGGGAAAGCCTTTTAAGACCTGCCATACTCCAGTAGCTAATCATATTTGCTGACATTTCTTGACTACTTACTGTGCATAGGATTCTAGGCCAAGTGATTTCCATGCATTATCTCATGTAATTCTCACAACAATCCCAGAAGGTAGATAGTGTTACTGCATCGCAGTATGAAGAAACCAAGGCTGTGAGAAGTAAAGGGATTTTCTCAGTGTCTCACAACTGGTGGGGGTTGGAGCCAGGATTTAAATGCATGCTTCTTTCATCACGGGGAGTAGGGGCAGAGAGGAAAGGACCTGAGTTTTTTGCCAACGGGTCATAATTTCACCTGCTGGATAGTTCTGGGGTAAAGCTCTCTCACTCATTTCTTCCCCATCTAAATCCTTGGTTTCTGTATCTGGATGAGAATCCAGGAGGCAGAGTTGTCCACGTATCAAGAGATGAGCAGGGTACATCAGAACCTGAGATCCAGAGTGACCTAATGTTTAGCCAACTGCCAAGTTGCCCCCACTTTCTGCTTTAGTCCCCATGGCATCCCAGTAAGATGACATATAGAACAGCACCAGGACTCAGAGTGTTCAAGTGACTTGCCCAACGTCACATGACTTGATCGTGGCCAAGCTGGGATTTGAATGCAGGCTTAGCTGACCCTGAAGTTCACCATGCTTTATGCAGTGTGTTGTGTAAGTGGTTGACCCCAGGGAGGGAAAGCCGATCACCCAAGGATGCCAACACTACGATGTGGCTGCCAAAGCCAAAAGCCAGTGTAGACCCATCTCCAGATGGTCTCTTTCTTTCTCTAATGGAATATCCAAGCTTTACTGACTGTGTGCTCTAAGCATAGACCTAGGAACCATCTGTCCTGCGTTAGCAAGAACAACCCCAACCTTCAAATTCCTTTGTAATCCTGTTCCCATTGGACCTCAGACTCTCCATATCTCTACCCTAACTGGCTATCTGGTGGTGCCCAGTGGAATTCTCATTCATTTAAATATTAGCCTAATGCAAGCATAATTAGAAAGGAATGGCTTCTGTCCCTCCCCCCACCCCACCCCCCACATATGCCTAATTGTTTCAAAGCAAAATCAAAGCAAACTCAAAGCAATGCTGGCATATTCTACACCATCAAGTCATTCCACTACGATGTAGAAGAGGCCATGCAATATCAGCCTGACCTGGATTTGAATCCTGTTGCTATAGATTGAACCGTGCCCCACTAAAATTTATATGTCGAAGCTCTAACCCTTGTACTTGGAGATAGGGCCTATAAGGAGGTACTTAAGGTAAAATGAGATCATAAGCATGGAGCCCTGATCCTATAGAAGGAGTGTCCTTCTTTATAAGAGACACCAGAGAGCTCGCTCTCTCTTTCTCTGCCATGTAAGGACAGAGCAAGAAGGTGGCCTTCTGCAAGCCAGGAAGAGAGGCCTCACCAGCATCTAATTGACAGGCACTTTGGACTTTCCAGTCTCCAGAACTGTGAGTAAATAAATCTCCATTGTTTAACCCACCCAGTTATGGTGTCTTGTTATAGCAGCCTGTACAGACCAAGGTACCTGTCCTCATCCCCTGTATGAGAGCTATATGCTCTCAAGCAACAAATCCAACCTTTGTGAGTCTCCTTTTTCTCACCTGTGAGAGGGCATGACCATGCTACCCATCAGGGAGCGGTAAAAGGAAGAATAGCCAGGTGGGACTCCAGGTACTGCTTTATTTCAAGCTGTTTGATGACAGCTAGGTCAGAGCATGGTGGCTCAGGTCTGGCAGCTCCATGTGACCTCCTCTCCACCTTCTCACCATCAAAACATTGGGACCAGGATGCTTGGTCATACTGATGGATACAAAGCAAGGAGAGATGGTTGAATCCACCAGGGAGACCTTAGCTTACTGTACCCACCCCGTTGCATCAAGCGGTTGGGGTAACTCATCGTGGCCCCAAGAGGCTTAAGTACCACCCAGGCCTGAGGCAAGAAACATTAAAAAAAAAAGAAGTGCAATTCATTTGGGAGGAGGAAGGGTTCACAGAACAGATATCTAGCCCACTAATAACCATGTCTCAAGCAATCTCTCCAGCACTAAGTAATCCTACCCTCAGTTCCTCCCTTTGGGTAAATGTAGGAGAGAGATGGGCAGAGGAGAACCTGCTATGGGCAGCAGGCTAGAGTGCCCTCCCCAGGGTACTTTCCTCATAGGATTGTTAGAAACATGAAAGATAGTGGAACACAGGACCTAATCCGGAATTGGGCATTTTTTAACAAGGAAATTTTTTGATGATAATGGTAGTGATGACAATGATAATTAATAATCCTGTATAGTTATTAATTCTGGACAAAAACATGGTCTGGCCTTGTGTGGTCACTTTCCTTATTCTCTCCTTCTTTCTTCCTCTTATATTTTATGTCTCTATTCCTTGTACTAATACAGAAATGCAGATTGGGCAGGGGGCACCTGCCTTTGAGGAAGTCTGATCGTGATGAGAGTGAGGAAGGTAGTTGCCTTGAGCTGAGCCTTCTTTGCCTGTAGTTGGGCCCCCATATTCCCTCCCTGCTGCAAGGCTGTTTGAAGACAGCCCTAGTGTTTACTGGCCTTCTCTACCCCAATGAGGTGAAACAACATATTCCATTTCTCAAGTCCATTTCTCCACTTACTTTGAAAAATCAAGTGCATTTCTCCAGTTACTTTTTGAATGCAACTGCAATCTACCTGAAATTTCAAGTGGGAAACTTCCTTCCAATTCCCAGCCTCACCAACCCTCACCCCATCCCCATGCTCAAGTGGCCTGCCTCTGACCCTCCCCTGGTGGCCCCAGGCAATATCAGAAAGTGATTTGGACATCTGGGCAGGTCAGCTTCCTAGGAAATCATCATGGAACAGAAGCCAACGCAGAGAGCAAAGTCTTCATGGTTCATGAGACTCCCCTGCTGCCTCCTCCCACTCCCACTCAGCTTAGGTGAAGCAGGCCCATGAAGGTCAGATGGAGTGTCTCTAGAACCTGGAATCTAGTCTTGGCCCACTGCCTATAAGACCAGTTAATCCAAAAGTGGAGAATGGGAAGGGGAAGGCCATTTGGTAGTACTGGCCAGTTTTCCCATGGTAGGGGGTGAAGGGGAATCCCACAATGGTGGTTGTTCCCTTATGGAGAAGGAATGAAAAACTGTGCCCCTAAAAGCCATCACCCGTCTCCTATGTCCTTTCTCCTCCAGGGAGGGATTCTCCTCAGTGCAATTTAATTGTAT
This sequence comes from Homo sapiens, assembly GCF_000001405.40. Classification (NCBI taxonomy): domain Eukaryota; kingdom Metazoa; phylum Chordata; class Mammalia; order Primates; family Hominidae; genus Homo; species Homo sapiens. Next base: position 181,771 of record NW_019805500.1, on the reverse strand, counting down.
TCATCAGTCAACATTACTTGGCAAACCGAGCCAGGGGCACAAACATTGCCACCCTTTCTCAGTCTAATCATGCTCTTCAGGATGCCGGAATCTGGTTTAAGGCCAAGCAGAAGCAATTTTTGATTACAGAGTCAATCTTTGTTTAAAATTTGCCACCCTGGGGAAGTTTCCAACAAGTTACTTTAAACAATGCATTCTCTGGACACCTACAGCTAAATAGTCCCATTAATCCAAATTGCTTTGCTGGGTTGTGGTGCAACCATTCAGGAATTGGGGCAGTGTCTCAGACAGGCTTCATGACAGTGATGGCTGCAGTACCAAGGGGGCACTGCTTTGTCATGAACTGAGCGACCGGGAGATGGCCCCACCCCTGAGAGTTCCCTGCCACTGAGTTTCTGCAGGTGCTAAGTGCTTCTTCTATGTTCTCCTTTAATCTCTCAGCCATCTGGTGAGATGGGACCTTCATTGTCCCCATTTGCAAGAGAAGGGACTTGAGCAGATGCTCAGCTACCCAGAAGTGGAGCTCAGTGGAGCTTAAACCCACCCATGTCCTTAACAATGAGTCAGGACTTCCCAAGTATGGCCTGTGGGCCGCTTGCAGTATGTAAGATGATTTAAAGAGAAATGCAGGCGAGTCTTTGAAAATGTCCATGTTTATCTATATTAACACATAGAAGGGAATAGGAACATGTTCAGCCCAGATTTTGGAAGCTGAAGTTTCCTTAAAAATAAAAAGTAAATAAATAAATAAAATGAAAGTTGATTTAAATGAGAAAATATTAACAAGGCAACAATACAAGGGGTAAGTGGCTCTTCAGTCATTTGGCAAGTACTTATTGAGTGCCTGGTATACTCCAGCCATTTTGCTGGGGGTTGGGAATATGGCAGTAAAGAAAGCAAGCACTGTTGTGCATCCTCCATGCTCATTAGAGAAAGAGACAGTAGATAAGTGAGCGGGTCATATATCAGGTAGAAATGAGTACCAGGAAAACTATTGCATGGAAAGAGGATAGGGTGGGTCAGGAAGACACTTCGATTAGACGGATATGCCAGAAAGTTATGAGGAAGATTGTGAATGACCCAAAAAAGAGAGTTATCAGGCGAGGGATCAACAAACTTCTTTTCTAGCTTTTATTTGAGGTTCAGGGGTACATGTGCAGGTGTGTTACATAGGTAAATTGTGTGTCCTGGGGGTTTGGTGTACAAATTACTGCATCATTCAGGTGATAAATGGAGTACCTGATAGTTTTTCGATCCTCACCCTCCCTGCCTCCTCAAGGAGACCCTGGTGTCTACCCTTCCCTTCTTTGTTTCCGTGTGTACTCAATGTTTAGCTCCCCCTTACAAGCGAGAATATGTATTTGGTTTTCTCTTCCTTTGTTAGTTCACTTAGGATAAAAGCCTCCAGCTCCGTTCATTCAACAAACTTTTTTTTTTTTTTTGAGACAGGGTCTCATTCTGTCACCCTGGCTGGAGTGCAGTGGCACAGTCACAGCTCACTGAAGCCCTGACCTCCCAGGCTCAAGTGGTCCTCCCATCTCAGCCTCCTGAGTAGCTGGGATTACAGGCTCATGTCACCACACTTGGATAATTTTTGTATTTTTGTAGAGACAGGGTTTTGCCATGTTGCCCAGGCTAGTCTCAAACTCCTGGGCTCAAGCCATCTGCCTGCCTCGAGCTCACAAAGTTCTGGGATTACAGGCATGAGCCACCACGCCCAGCCTCAAAAGTTTTTATTAAAAGGCCAGATAGTAAATATTTTAGGTTTTGTGGTACATATATGTCTCTCAGGATGACGAAACTCTGCTGTTGTAATACTAAGGCGGCCATAGACAGTATGTAAATGAATGGGTATGACTGTGTTCCAGTAAAATTTTCTTTCTAAAAACAGGTGGCAGGCAATAGTTTGCACTTGATCATTCTGCCAGATCTCCCATGTTTCAGATCGTGGCCTTGCCCAGAACACGTACATCTCAGCCCTTTCAAATTTAGTGCCAACCCACTCACCCATCTTCCTAGGCATGGCCTTTGCTTCACTATCTTAGATGATTCTGTCAACCCAGGTGGGGTTGAATCTGAATCACCTCAAGTGCTTCAGACTTCAGGACCCTGGATAGAGAATGAGTGATGGAGATCCCCAAGGCCTTCTGCTCTACCTCCCCTAGGCCTTGACCTGGATTTCTACCCAGTCCTGGGTAGCTGAACCCCTTATTAAACAGCAGGCTCCCTTTATTTTATGTTCCCCTAACCTACTTCGTGTGCCATTTCTGACCTTGAGCTGGTAAGGAGCACATGAAACACAGCTCACCCATCAGTGTTGCCTGACCAGGGGCGGCCGAGAGGAGACAGGCAGTTTGCACACAGACAGTCCTCCATGGCTATCCAGCCCCGCAGAGTTCCTGCCAGCCAGAGCATACCGGTTTTCTTACCACCCAGCCTTCTCTGCCTAAACGCAGGATAAATACCTGGTCCTCATTAGCACCGTAATTCACCCTGCACCACCTTCCTCAATCTGAATCAAAAAGGTTAATGTCATTGAATCCTGAGACTCGTTGATTTCAGCACTTACCCCAAGTTTCTGCTCCCCCGCTAAAAGCACAGAGCTCGTTTATCTTTCCTTGGTTGACCAGGCAAGTTGCTGACTAATGCCTTAATGCCAGCTAATTCTCAAAGATTTCCCAGAGTGACTGGACATGTGTTCCTCTAGTACTTTCTATAAATCCAGTTGATCTTGTGTGTCTGGTTTTCTACTGACTCACTGCCTGGATGTGTCTGGGCTCCCCTCCTGTAATTTATCTTGGAAGTCTGTCTCAGGTTGCAATGTTAATTCAGGAAGAGAGAGATTTTTAACCAAGGTGGTGTCCGCAAAATACATTTTAATGAACTATCAGCTGTAGGGCGTCACTGTGAATTTGTTCATTCATTCATACATTCTAGTCAGTCAACAGATGCTTGTTGGAAACCTACTGTGTGCCAGACATTTGCCAGGACCTGGGGTTACAGACACCAATAGAACCATTAACATCGCTGCCTTTGAGGAATATACAGATTAAGCCATCAAATAATGACATCTTCATGACATTGTCAGGAAAGAAATTTGCATGCATATAATGCAGGAAACAGACATGCATATCACCCCTTCTCTTCTAAAGGACCAGGGAAAGCTTCCCTGGAGAAGTACCCATCCCATAACCACGTCTCAAGCAATCTCACTGGCACTAAGTAATCCTACCATCAGTTCCCCCTCCTTTTATGTAAAACTAAGAAGGAGATGGGCAGCAGGCTGGAGTGCCCTCTGCCCAGTGGTTTCCTGAGAGTTGAAAGAAGAGGAGGAATTAACTGGGTGAAAAAAAGGGGGCGGTGAACATTGCAAGCAGCAGGGGCTGCATGCACAAAGGCACTGAGGCAGGAGAAAACATGGCTTCTGTGGTAAATGAAAAGAGGCTTATGTGGACAGAGTGTGGCAAGGGGATAAGCCAATAGAATGAGGCCAGAGAGGCAGGTGGGGGCCAGACCGTGTGGGACCTTTAGAGCCAGGTTAAGGAGTCCAAGCTTATCCTATAAGCAATGGGAAGCCTTTGAAAAGTTTTCTATTAGAAAATGCCATGATGAGATTGGTTCAGTTTATAATCAGTTGCTTGGCAGTGGGAAAAAGAAAGTTAAAAAAAAAAAAAAAGTAGAGGACTGTACCAGCCTGCTGGAGGAGGGGAAACATGATAGCTAGTATTTTTTGCTAGTAGATATGTACATTATAGCTCAGGTAATTACTTTCCACCAGGCTAAATGCCTCCTGTTGCTTTGTTGCTATTATTTTCTCTTGGTGTTGAGCTTTTCTGCAGCATACCTTATTCTTAGGCTTCGTGGCCCTGGGTTTCCTGGAGAGACCCTGTAAGCTGGATCTGGAACTGGACCTACAAACCTCCTTCTGCTAGTCGGCAGGAATTTTCCAGGGCTCAGGCCCTCAGGCCAGTGCAGCAAAGCGGTTGAAAGTGTGCACTTGAGGAGGCAGCAGAGCCTGAGTTCAATTTCCAGCTGTTCTGTTTACTGGCCACGTGCCCTTGGGCATGTTGCTCAACCTGTCTCTGCCTCAGTTTTCTCATCTGTAAAATGGGAACCATCAGTTACCTGCCTCAGCCTTTACTGTAAGGATGAAGCTGTGAAATGTGTAGCACCTTGCCTGACCCAGAGAAAGGGCTCGAGAAACGATGATAGTGATGGTGACCCAAGCTGCCCGGGTGACAGTTCCACAAGTGGAGAGATGACATCTGTTTTGCTCACCACTGTGTCTTATTCCTGGTACAGTGCCTGGCACATAGTGAGAGCTCAGTAAGTACTTACTGAAGTAAGGCATGAAGGAGCAAATGAGTGCTCAGTGTTTGTCCCATATAACACCACTGTGGCTGCAGTGGCTGTGGTCCTTTATTTCTAAGTGCCAGGAGAGTCACTGATATTTTACCGCATTTTTTTTTTGCATTCCCCATTTATTAAAAACATCTCTGGGCTTATTCCTAGATTGAGGACCAGTGGAGGGGTTTTGTCTTTACTTAATGTCTTTTCACCTAGAGACGTTTTCAGATTTCACCACCATGAAAACAGAAAACATTCCAAAGAGCTGGAGAGTTTATTTCAAAAGGACAGTGAGCTGTGGTAGGTACTCATGAATCCTAAGGTTGGCTCAGCTGCTTCTCCACATAAAGTGGAGGTGCCTGCACAGATATCAAGGATCTGTGTCTGGGAGCCTGGCAGGCCAGAGGGACATTCACATATCACACCTGTCTGGCTATATGCTGGCTTCCATGCAGCCTGGGGGAAGGTCTGGATCCCATGAAGTCACTTGATGTCATGGAGCAGATACCTAGTCTGTTCCCATTTTCCATGAGAGAGGACAGGGAGGTAAGTTCTGCAGGTGTCCACATTCCTTCCCGGCTCCATGACCACGCCTGCGGGCTCCAGTGGTGATGCATATGGACTCTGAGGTCAAATGACCTGGGTGCAAATCCCTGTTTCTGTTACCTGTGGGCTGTCTAACCTAGGCCAAGTCACTTAACCTCTCTGTTCATCTTCCTCTGTAAAATGGGTGATAATGATAATATGTACATCATGATGATGTTGGGAAGGCAAACTGAGCCGATATGTAACAAGTGCCTCAGCAAGCAACTCTTATATTCTATACTTATTATTGTTATGATCATCATGATTATTAGACACGTTGCCCAAGTTTTGAGAAGTTTGCTCCATTGTAAAATGGAGCTACTGCTGCCTATTTTAGGGGGGTTGTGAGGATTAGGTGGATAGCGTATATAAAATAGGTAGGATACACCAAACATGGTTATTATTGTAGCTGTTGTTTTATTTCTCAGTTTGAAATTTTGGGGTTCAACTGTCATATTTTTATTGTGGCATAAAAATAAAAACATAAATAATAACATTAAAATATGTTGGCTGGATGTGGTGGCACACACCTGTAATCCCAGCAATTTGGGAGGCCAAAGAGGGCGGTAACTTGAGGTCAGGAATTCGAGACCAGCCTGGCCAACATGATGAAAGCCTGTCTCTACTAAAAATACAAAAAATTAGCCAGATGTGGTGGTGCATGTCTGTAATCCCAGCTACTTGAGAGGCTGAGGCAAGAGAATCGCTTCAACCCAGGAGGTGGAGGTTGCAGTGAGCGGAGATCGCACCAGTGCACTCTACCCTGGGCAACAGAGTGAGGCTTCATCTCAAAAAACAAGTTATATTTAATATGCCAAAAATAATATACAACTGAAATTAGTGGCGCTTAATACATTCACAATGGTATATGAGCATAATCACTATCTAGTTACAAGCATTTTAGTTACCCCAGAAGGAAAACCTGTACCCATTAAGCAGTCACTCCTCATTCCCCTCTGACCCCCAACCCCTGGCAACCCCCGGTCTGCTTTCTGTTTCTGTGGATTTGCCAACTCTGAATATTTCATATAAATGGAATCATACATCATGTGGGTATTTCACGTCTGGCTTCTTTCACTTAGCATTATGTTTTCAAGGTTCATCTGCATTGTAGCTTGTATCAGTACTTCATCTCTTTCTATGGCTGACTAATATCCCATTGTCTGGATAGACCTCATTTGGCTTTATCCATTCAGCAGGTGATGGACATTTGGGCTGTTACTACTTTGGGCTATTGTGAGTAGTGCTGCCATGAATAGCATGGCCAAGTTTTGTTCGAACACCTGTTTTCCATTCTTTTCAGTATTACAATGACTCTTAACATATGTGGTTCAGCTACTTTAGAGAAAAAGGGAAGAAGTAATAAGATAAAGTAGAAAAACAGAGGAATTTCAGCTTCTGTAGATGTATATCTTTCTTTTGTGTTTTATTTATTTATTTTTTTGGCCACCCTCTGGAGGGCCAGCCAGGGAACAACCACAGAGAGGTTGGTCTTGGTTTGGTCTCTAACTCTTGGGTTCGTCAACATCCCAAGGACCACAGCTTCCCTGAGAAAACCTTTGATGACTGCACATTGCAGCCTGGGGAAGCCTGCCACCCTTCTCCCTCACTCAGAGCCAAATAAAAAACAAGGGCTACCAGATAATCAAGCGATTACTATGTGGCAGGCACTGGATTGAGTCTTCCACACCCATGATCTCATCAAATCTTTGCTCAACTTAGACAAGGAAATTGAGGCTCAGAAGGATAAAGAAACCTGCAAGGTGGTACCGCAAGGATTAAGGAGTAGAGATGATCTTTAAACCTATTTCACCTTTTGCCGAATGATGATTCTGCAGAACAGCAGCACGTCAAGCTGTCACTCAGTTAGGCTCGTCTCAGCTGGACCTGCTGATGTATCTGCCTTAGCATGAAAGGAATTCTGTCCGAGTTTGTGAATTCCATTCCAGGAACCTGGCACAGACTCGGAGATTGCATTCAACCTTTGTCCCTGTGTGCATTGAGCAACTATAATATGCCAGACATGGCGCTAGCCAAGCCTTGCTCAACTGAGGTTCCTCATTTGAGCCACAAAACACAGGAAGTGGGCAGAGTGCCTGTGTTCTTGATTCTAGCAAGGATGGTATGTGACTAGTATGCTCTTAATGCATAGAGGGAAGCTAATCCAGGATGTACGTGGATGCCTCGGAACACCAAAGCTCCATTCTCAGAGGGATTTTGTCTTCATCTTCACTGTTTCTCCAGCATCTGAAACAGCACGTGACTCATAGTAGCTGTAACATAAATGTTTGCTGAATGAGTACGTGGAGGTAGTGTGGCGTGCACAAATCTGCCTTCATCTACTACACGTCCTGTTTGACAATTTATAATACGATCCTGTTTTTACAATGCAGCCATTTAAATACTCAGAGACCTGGCACTGAAAATAATTCATCAGCGAGCAATGAACTTGTGTCAGCATCTTCCCGGCAGAGTTTATGTGATCAGATCCCAGATGACATTTGTTACTAATTTGGTTTTTTTTGTTTGTTTGTTTGTTTGTTAGTAAAGCACTGTATCAGTCACCATAGGAGCGCAGAAGGAGCAGGACTAAGGTATTGCCCCTGAGTAAATACCTCTCTGGGAAAAGAAAGAAATATCTGTAAATGAACAGCTTTTACCCAAGAAGCAGGAGGTATGAGCTCATGTAGAGTCAAATAAAACCCGGGCTTAAATGTCCTCAATGAAATGGGCCCATACAACTCAAAGTGATACCCAGCTGTTGAAAAAGCAGAATTCATGTCTCAAGTCAGAAATGAACACAGTCGGCCAGGTGCGGTGGCTCACGCCTGTTATCCCAGCACTTTGGGAGGCTGAGGCAGGCGGATCACCTGAGGTCAGGAGTTTGAGACCAGCCTGGCCAACATGGCAAAACCCCATCTCTATTAAAAAGTACAAAAATTAGCCAGATGTGGTGGTGGATGCTTGTAATCCCAGCTACTCAGGAGGCTGAGGCAGGATAATCGCTTGAACCTGGGAAGCAGAGGTTGCAGTGAGCCGAGATCACGCCACTGCACTCCAGCCTGGGCAACAAGAGCGAGACTCCGTCTCAAAAAAAAAAAAAAAAAAAAAAGAAATGAACGCAGTCTTTGGCACATAGGAAGATGCTCAGCAAATGCTTATGGCAGGGCCTGAATTGCTGAAGAACTGGGAAATTGTATTTACCAGGAAAGCTAATAGAGCTTGCAGGATCTTAGAGTTATGAAAGAGCACAAAACATTCAGAAAACTTCAAGTAATTCCAAAGATTGAGTAGGCAGGATGCAGGAAGAGAAAGGAAAGAAAAGGACAAAGGAAAAGGAAAGAGAAATGGAAGAGGGAGAGAAAAAAAAGGGAGAGAGGAGGGAAGGAAGGAGGGAATAAAAAGAAATTTAATTCACAGCTGCAAGAGTAACATAGTTAATACTTACTAAGTATTTACTGTACACCGAGTACCCATGCTAACAGGTTAACCTGATATCATTCCTTCTAACCCCAAAACAACTCCACAAGGCATGTCATATTGCGATTCCTGTTATTATAAAGGCAACAGTGCTGTTCAGAAAAATTGTCATCTGCCCAAGATTGGGCAGTTAGTGAGGGCAGAGCTCAGCCAGTTCTGCTATTGAGTAAGATGCCAGCCTCCTTCCTCTCCTAAAGGAGAACTGGAAGTTAAATTGGCCGTTTTTTAAATGATTTTTGAACACTTGTTTTTAGGCTACTAAACCATTTTTGCACAATTGAAATTTTACCCAATATAGGGGTGGAAGTGAGTCCTCAGTAAGGAAACCTCTACTGAGGTGTCTTGAGGCCCCAGCTGCCCAGCCCCAACCTGGGGTTCCCCCAGATGCAGCTTAAAAACCGATGATCTATGTGATAACGTCTCATTTAAATCATTTCTGAAGTTTTCTTTGCCTAGGAACTGTCAAGTTACTTCAAGGCCTGTGTCCTCTGTTTAAAAAGAAAAAATCCGTTTAAAAATCCTTTTGAAATTTCTCATCAGCCCTCTGAGATAAACAAGTAACCTTGGAAATCTGTGGGTAAAGAGTCTACTGGACGCAGCATGTCCTGATCCTCCAGAATCGATCTCTGTGTTGCAGAAACCACAGTGTTTGTTTTTCCATGGTGTGTATGACTTCTTGCCTGTGTTGCAGTGCATTTTGACCTTGTTCCAATACAGACAGGCAGGTGAATGTGGCAAGCTGCCCAAGGAGAATGAGATGCTTGGTGACACTATCAACTGTCCTTCAAGCTCAATCTCACCTTGGGGCTGAAATCCAAACTGACCCAGTCCCAAAGTTCTGGGAGTTAGAGATCCTTGCTGTATCCTACTCCTGGCACAGTGCAGACTCTAGTCCTGGAGAATTCATGATAATAAAAATAATAACAATAATAAGATCTGACATTCTAGCATTCTGTGGGCTAGGTTACCTAAGCTGTACTAGATCTCTCTTGTTTTCACTGGCTCAACACTCATTACCCGACTTCTGATACCAGTTTCTGTATCAGCTAGAATTTTGTAGTTGCAAGCAACAGATTATTCCCTCTTATTTCATTACATCTTCAACTCTATAAGGTAAATAGTGTTATTATCCTCAATTTTAAAAATGACAAAATTGAGCATCGACTAGCTAAAAATGACCTGCCCAAGGCCACACAGCCAATAAGTAGTAGAACTAGGACTCAAACCTACATTTCTCTGATGTCAGATCTGCATTATTTTAACCACTGCAAATTCTGATACATTAGTGTAGGTGCGTTAGGAAGACCTATGTGGTGAAATGGAAATGGACAAATTAGTATTATAGGTCATGGTGATTATTTGAATAAACCCAGGGCAGGATGAATGGTGAAAAAGGCATCTGTTCTCAGCCATAAGCACAAAGAGAAAGGTCAGCGTGTCAGTACAGTTCAGTGCCATTCAATGGTTATTTATACTCCAGCCTTTCCCAGTGGAACTGACATTGAGCCAGCTTTTGCAAAGGCAAGCAGGAGTTCTCTAGGCAAAGGTGTAGGAAGGATGTTTCTGGCATTAGGGATGGTATGGACAAAAGCCCTCATTCTGTCCTGCAACACAGTTGTGCTGAGCAGTTTCCGTGGGCTACAGTGAAATGGGCCTGGGGACCCAAAGAGAAATAGGCATAAGGCTGATGGAACCTGTCATGTTCCTGGCCTCTGTGCTGGACAGTTGGGGAACATAGATGACCCAGATAAAGTTCTTGTCCTCAGGTAGCTTACAGTCAAGCAACTTGAACATACATAACTTAAATTTTTGCTAGGAACCACAAGTGTGTAAGAATTGAAATGTCACAGCTTGGTAGGAAACTAGCAAGGGGTGGACATGCCTTTCTCTCTGCATTTCTAGCGAAGAATATAGAAACTTCTTTCCAAGGAACTCCAGTTACTGCGCACCTGCTATGCACCAGGCACTGCATGTACCATACCCACAACACACAAGTAACTCATAGACCATTGTTAAATGCTCCCATTTGGCAGATTAGAAAACCAAGGCTCAGTGAGCCTGAGGAACTTGCTAAAAATCAAACGGCAAGAAAGTGGCAAGGAGCAGAGAGAAACTACTGTAAACACCTCTCTGAAAACAGCTTTCCTTGTAGCCGTGTCTTGGCTTTCCTACTTAAATTGCATTTACTTTTAAGATTCAATCTTTCGATGCCCTCTGAAGTGGACCTCCCCTGGTTCCCTGAAGACCAAATCAAATAACTGGCTGTAATCAATCATTGTATGGGAATGCAGAATTTGGTTAACTAAATGTTGTGCACATTTGAGATGCCTCATGGCATGTGAGGACAAGCAGACTTAAGAGAATCAAAATACAGTTAAATAGACTTCATATACATATGTGCACACACACGATCCCCACCCTCCCCGCCCGCCCCCCAACCCACCAAGCAGAATGTCAGTTTAGTTCATTCATGATTCCGGTGGCGTCCTGGGTTCCTGCGTGGCCCCTGGGTGCTGATTGTTGTCAGTTACCTTTCCATTACAGCCGTCTGAAGGAAGGGCTGGTGTGTTAAGAGTTCTCATTGATAGAACATCAGATAAACTGCCTCTTAGAAAGGCATATGTATGTTTAAAATGAAAAATGTGTTTCTTACAAATGTCCTGTGAAAGCACTGAGGCTTTGTGAAATGGTTTGCCGGTCCATTCAAATACAATGAGTGTGTTTTAATGCCACATCATTTTTGTCAGTACAAAAAGGTAAATCCAATTAAAACTGATTGGGTTGTAACAACCAGGTAGTTCTCCAGTTTACTGCCTGCCTTTGTAGAAGGAGGTACTGTCCCCCTGGTGTCCCCAGCATACTTTTTGTAGCCTCCCCTGAATGCTCGTGCTTCAATTCATCTGCTGTCTCACTTCATATCACAGGGACCTACCTATATGTCTGCATCCCCCAGTGTTCTGTGCGTTCCTTGAGGACAGGTGCCACAACCATCTTACCCACTCCTGTCCCAGGCGTTTGTCACAGGGCCTGACCTATTGAAGAAGTGGAAGTCATATTTTTCCCAGGAGACCAAACAGTGCTTGCACAGTCTTAGAGTTATGAAAGAACACAGAACATTTAGAAAACTTCAAGTAATTCCAAAGATTGAGTAGGCAGTGCCGGGTCACAAACAACCTTGCATGCCTTGCCAAGGGGTAAGGACATTGTCCTTCAGATGATGGAGAGCCGCTGAAGGTACTGAGTCAAAGGGTGACATGGTCAGACTCATGTTTTAGGAAGATCCTGCAGCTGCTTCCTGGAGGACGAGGTAAAGAGGAGCCTGGAGGCCGGGCCAGCATTTTATCCAGTTCACTTTTCCTCAGTTGCTCATGGTGGCTGGAATTATGCCTGTGGAGTCCAGGAAAACATACTCTTTAGCATTTTTCATACCTTTTCCTCCGTATCTTAGCAAAATAAGTCTCTGTAAATTTGGACTACTTTTTAAACTTTAAAAAAAAAAGTCACCTTTTATTTTAGATTCAGTGGGTACGTGTGCAGGTTTGCTCCAGGGGTATATTGTGTGATGCTGAGGTTTTGGGTATGAAGGCCCCCATTACCTAGGTAAGTGAGCATTGTACCCACTAGGTTATTTTTCAGCCTTTGCCCTCCTCCTCTTCCCTCTCTAGTAGTCCCCAGTGTTTGTTCCCATTTTCATGTCCGTGAGAACCCAATTTTTAGCTCCCACTTATAAGTGAGAACATGTGGTATTTAGCTTTCTGTTCCTCTGTTAATTCACTTAGGACAGTGGCCTCCATCTGCATCCATATTGCAGCAAAGGACATGATTTTGTTCTTTTGATGGCTGCACAGTGTTCCATGGTGTGTATGTACCGCATCTTCCTTATCCAGTTCACCATTAACGGGCACCTATATCGATCCCATGTCTTTACTATTGTTAATAGTGCTTCAGTGAACATACAAGTGCATGTGCTTTGACTGCATTTGAATCAGGGATTTGCCTTTTTTCCAGTTCTTTTGCTCTTGTCTCTTCTTCAGCAAGTCCCGAACTTGGCCTTTATTCACTGTTGGTCTGCAACCCTGGACTTCCCTGATTTTTCCAGTGGGTGAGAAGATGTCAGTAAGGTCCTTGCATAAACCGTCTGGAGTGTGGAGGAGAGAGCACTGGCAGTGTCTCCTCCTCCCCCAGATAAGCCGTGGGGAAAGATGGTTTAGAATCCATTCACGAGATGGAAGGATGGGTTAGAATCCATGCACGAGATGGAAGGATGAGTTAGAATCCATGCATGAGATGGAAGGATGAATTAGAATCCATTCACGAGATGGAAGGATGAGTTAGAATCCATGCATGAGATGGAAGGATGGGTTAGAATCCATTCACGAGATGGAAAGATGGGTTAGAATCCGTTCACGAGATGGAAGGATGGGTTAGAATCCATTCACGAGATGGAAGGATGGGTTAGAATCCATTCACGAGATGGAAGGATGGGTTAGAATCCGTTCACGAGATGGAAGGATGGGTTAGAATCCCTTCACGAGATGGAAGGATGGGTTAGAATCCGTTCACGAGATGGAAGGATGGGTTAGAACCCATTCACGAGATGGAAGGATGGGTTAGAACCCATTCACGAGATGGAAGGATGGGTTAGAATCCATTCACGAGATGGAAGGATGGGTTAGAATCCATTCATGAGGCAGGGGGAGGAGGAAACTTACTGGACTTCAGATTTTACAGGAGCACAGGAAAAAGACATACACCCTGAACAGAGGTTCTACCTGTATCAATTCCTGTTGTGCGACTCGCACTCAACAACAGTCCCCTTGAAGGGAAGTAGTAGGCTTCAGAAGGCAGCTGCAGTTTCCTGTTTATTTCCTGCCTCTGTCTACAGAAATGGATCACATTCCTGAAGCTTATTCACCACGGGGAAAGCGGGATTGAAAACAGCTCAGGCTCTGGCCCTGGGGCACTGAGGTCTGCATCTCCCCTCCACCACTCATAAGACCTGGCACAAGCTGTGAAGGCTCTTCCAGTCCTAGTTTATTCATCCGCAAATGAGTACCTCCTGGATGTGTATTGTAAAATTAAGGAGGACGAGCACTTAACACTTGGTGAGCAACAAAGGGAAATCTTTCTGCAATTGTTATTATGAAGCATTTTCTCATGAGTACCCTGACTCTGGGATTCCTTCCCCCAAATCACCCCCCAGTTCATTGGGCAAAGACGTAGGGAGGAGCATTCCTGGCAGAGGGTATGGAATGGGCAGAGATGTGGATACAGAAGTGGATGATGGGCCAGGCACAGGGCCTCATGTCTGTGGTCCCAGCACTTTGGAGGCTGAGGCAGGCAGATCACCTGAGGTCAGGACCAGCCTGGCCAACATGACGAAACCCCATCTCTACTAAAAATACCAAAAAAAAAAAAAAATAGCTGGACATTGTGGTGCACGCCTATAATTCCAGCTACTCAAGAGGCTGAAGCAGGAGAATCTCTCGAACCCAGGAGGTGGAGGTTACTGTAAGCGGAGATCGTGCCACTGCACTCCAGCATGGGTGACAGAGCGAGACTCTACCTCAAAAAAAAAAAAAAGTGAATGATGGACTGAGCCCTTCCCATGGGGCAGGTACTGTCTGTGCTGAGCATAGAAGCCACAGAGATGAACCCTGCATACCGGGCCTCTACTTGGGCTTGCATTAAGCAGTGAATACTTACTTAGCACCTTCTATGTGTCAGGTCCTGGAGGAACAGATGGGAATTGGACTCAATGCCTGCTCATCCCAGGACTACAGCCATGGTCCTGAAAAGCACTGTCCGAGGTGCTGCCCCATAGTCCAGATGCTGGTTCTGTTGGCAGACAGATGATCACCAGCTGCAGCAGCTGCTCCAGGCATGGGAGAGGATGGTTCTGCCCTGACCCCGTTGCTTGACAGAAGGTCCTTTCCATCTCCATGTGAGCCTCCTTTGTTTTCCAGGGTCCGCTGGTGGTTGGTCCTTTGGGGAACCCAGAAGGCCCCTGCTTAACCCCACCAGCCTGCTGGAGGAGCCAAGAGCCTGCCAGCTCTGCAAGACATCCCAACTCCATCACCTTTGCAATTTCCTTCTTCCTCCCCATGCTCCTGGCAGCCACAGGCTTGGTTTCTGTGCAATGATGTGAGTCTTGGGCAATTCTTAGAGAAGTCTCATTCCGTGTAGTTTGCTTTCTGAAATTAAAGACTGAAAAATAATCCTAGAGTGAACAATTCCATATCTGCAAATTTGATCCTACAGAAACCTATCATGCCCACATGTGAAAAGATAGTTATTCAAGGGTGTTCAATGGAGCAGTAGTTGTAAGGGGGAGAAAATGGAAATGACCTAAGTGTCCATCACTAGGGCATTGGCTATGCCCATTCTTTTTGTTTGTTTGTTTTTTGAGGCAGAGTTTCACTCTTGTCACCCAGGCTGGAGTGCAATGGCACAGTCTCGGCTCACTTCAACCTCCGCCTCCCAGGTTCAAGCAATTCTCATGCCTCAGCCTCCGAGTAGCTGGGATTACAGGCGCCCACTACCATGCCTGGCTAATTTTTTTTTTTTTGTATTTTTAGTAGAGACCAGGTTTCACCATGTTGGCCAGGATGGTCTCAATCTCTTGACCTCATGATCCGCCTGCCTTGGCCTCCCAAAGTGCTGAGATTACAGGCATGAGCCACCATGCCCAGCTGGCTACGCCCATTCTATAGGATCCTGTGCAACCGTTAAAAGGATGAAGTCTGCCTGTACGTGCTGATGAGTGAGAGAAGCAGCATAGGTCATTACACAAAAATCCATGTATATACATGTTCCCGTTTATATAATAACAAATGGATATAAATATAATAGCATCTACCTCTTAGGGTTGTCATGAGGATTAAGTGGGTTAATAGATGCAAATACCACATAGGAGGCATTCAAGTGTTAGATGATGATGATGTTGCTATTGCTGGTATTTCAGTCTTTATCTTGCTGTGATCTAAGCTTTCATAATGATTTTAAAGGCATAGGAAAAGGTTACAATAGGCCCTGCCATTATCTTGTTTTCTATACATTGGGTTGATCACAGGAGGGTGAGATTTTTGCCTCTGTGGAGTGTGCACTTCTCCTGTGGTTACACAGCCCTCAATGGAGCCATGTGCCTGGGGTCACCAGCTCATCTTCATTTGCTCAGGACCATCCAGTTTTAAAACTAAAAGTCCTGTGTTGTGGGAACTCCCTCAGTCCTGGGCAAACCAGGACAGTTGACCTCTTCCATATGTGCCTCTGGTAGCCCAGTTGATTTAAGAAGTATACAGACACGTGGTCGTTAATGTTTTTAATGTGTAACAGGGAAAAAAATAACATACAGGTGGTACATGAGAGAGTATTATTCAGCCTTAAAAAGGAAAGAAATTCTAAGGTATGATACAATATGGATGAGCCTGGAGGACATGGTGCTAGTTAAATAAGTCAGCCAGCAAAACACAAATCCTGTACAATTCCACTTATGTCAGGTACCTAGAATAGTTAAAATAGCAGAGAGGAAGTAGAATGGGGGTTGCCAGGGGCTATAGAAGAGAGAAATAGAGAATTATTATTTAACAGGTAGAGAGTGTCAGTTTTGCAAGATGAAAAGAGTTCTGGAGATGGATATTGGTGATGGTTGCACAACAATGTGAATCCATCCAGTACCACTGAACTGTACACTGAAAAATGGTTAAGATGGTCTACAGACATATCACCCTGAACACACCCAACCTCGTCTGATCTCAGAAAAATGGTTAAGATGGCAAGACTCTGTCTCCAAAAAAAAAAAAAAATTTGTGACATCAAATATCACAAACATTGGTGCATAAGATAAAGCTAAAGTAGAATTTAAATTAAATAGACATATGAAATAACTTAAAGATTATGGGTACACTAGAAGCAGAAGTTGGGGAAACACTGTTGTAGTCTATTCTCAGCTTAGGTTGAAAGCACCTCAACCCTCAACTTCCTCAACTTGCCTGACTTCACAGTCCCTCATGCACCAGCATAGTCTTTCTTTTTTTTTTTTTTTTTTTTTTTTTTTTTTTGAGACAGAGTTTCGCTCTTGTTTTCCAGGTGGGAGTACAGTGGCGCGATCTCTCCTCACTGCAACCTCCACCTCCTGGGTTCAAGCGATTCTCCTGCCTCAGCCTGGGATCACAGGCGCATGCCACCACACCTGGCTAATTTTTGTATTTTTAGTAGAGACGGGGTTTCACCATGTTGGTCAGGCTGGTCTCTAACTCCTGACCTCAAATGATCCACCCGCCTTGGCCTCCCACAGTGCTGGGATTACAGGCATGCCTGGCCTCCCCATAGTCTTTCATGTGTGTTTCTGCCCCACAATGGGTCGTTCATTGCAGTCCAGGAGGACTTACTCCAGTGTCCCCTGGGCTCTGTGCACACCTGGCAGCATCAGAGGTTTGAAATCCTGAATCCTGACATTCACAAAATCCTGCGTATAACTTTGGCTTTAGTCCTGTCACCTCACCGTTGGGCTGTGAGCACCTCTGGCAGGGTCCTTGACAGTATCCTGCAGTCGGGAAGGGGTTCTGGGGCATGAGTGCCAGGTGGGCACCGGGAGCCCAGAGAGGTGCAGTTGGCTTTGTGTTGGGCTCCTTCCTAGTGGAAGCTGAGCAGGCTTCATCTCTTGTCACATGCCACCAGCAAACAGGCATTGTGTGCCTCTGTGTGCCCAGGGCACCTTTTCCATACAGCCTGGGCTCCTGGGTGCTATGGGAACCTGAGAACTCTGCCCTCTCTTCCTTCATATCTTCATGTCCAGAGCTGTTATATAGATAAGACACACACACAATGGTGCCATGGCCCTCTGGGAGCCAGTCCCTAAGTCTGACACCAGCTGGGAAGGGACCTTGGACAAATCCCCAGGAAGGGGCCTTGGACATCTCTTAAACTATGCTCTGCAGAACATTCCATGGGTCTTATGCACAGAAAGCCTTCCAAGTTCAAATCAGGTTGGGTCTTTACACTGTTTTCCACAGTTCAAGGTGTCTTAAGCTTCTGATGTTCAAGATGGTAATAATAATGCTATTATATAATAGCTGACATTTATCAGGGGATTACTATATGCCAAGTACTGTGGCACAGATATTAGGTGCATTGTTTTTATTTAATACTCTCAAGACCTAAGGCTTATTGAAATGAAAGTAATTCATTCATAGTCCGGGTTCTCCAGAAGAAACCATGAGGAGCAGATAAAGATGGAAAGCAGAGAATTAACTACTCATAGTCATACATGACTTACAGCAATGCTTCTGAAATTTTAAAGAGCACATGCATCATCTGGAATCTTGTTTGAAAACACATTTTTGCTCAATAGATATTGGGTGAGCTCTGTTGCTCAATAGGTATTGGGTGGGGCCTGAAGTATGGCATTTCTAATAGCAGTGGGCTGCAGACCAGGCTATGAAGAGGAAGACATTATTGCGCCTGTATTTTTTTTCTTCTGCACTTGAAATGGAATACATTCATTCATTCATTCACTCGTTCATTCACTATCATTTGTAGAGGCAGTCTCGTAGTAGAGAACACAAGCTGTGACATTTGTCCCCAGGTTCCAGTTCTGGTTCTGCACTTTACTAAATGGATGATTTATCTAAGTCTCGGTTGCCCGTCCGTAAAATGAGAGTGAAGTGAAATTCCTTTTTTTTTTTTTTGAGACAGAGTCTCACTCTTTCACCCAGGCTGGAGTGGAGTGGAGCGATCTGTGTTCACTGCAACCTCCACTTCCCAAGTTCAAGCAATTCTCCAGCCTCAGCCTCCTGAGTAGCTGGGACTACAGGTGTACATGCCCACACCTGGCTAATTTGTTTGTATTTTTAGTAGAGACAGGGTTTCATCATGTTGGCCGGGCTGGTCTCAAACTCCTGACCTCAAGTGACCCACCTGCCTCGGCCTCCCCAAGTGCTGGAATTACAGGCATGAGCTACCACACCCAGCCAAAATTTACATTTTTTAGCATCATTGTGACTATCAAATGCAATAAAATGTGGCAAAAGTCTTTCCCCATGGCCTAGGGCATGGTGCACATTTAGTAAATGGCTGGGACTTGGGAGATTATTGTATTACTCATTTTTTTATTCATTTCGAAAAAGATTCTCATATGGCTCCCAGTAAGTTTATTTTAACATTTATTTCTTACTTATTTCAGCAGAGACTTCCCAGTGACTCCCATGGTGGTAGCAACAGGCCCCAGTTATCCTCAGGAAGCAGAGGAACTGGCATAGACCAAGAGACATGATTTCTAATCATTTCAGCAAAAAGTAGGAGGAAATTGATGATGAGATAGATACAAGAGATGAACTATGGGAACCATTTGGCAAATGACTTCACCAGAAAAAGAGAGTGAGAAACGTGTGTGAGTGGAAGAGAGAGAGAGAGAGAGAGAGCGCGCGAGAAACTGGAACGGGGTAAAATGTCACCAGATCGCAAGCTGTTAATTATCTGGAGAGAACTAAATATTATGTAGGCAATTATCGACAGGCGTCTGAAAGCAACAATAGGAGAATTTGGTCCTCAGCCAAATTCCATCTCCCTTTGGAGAAGGACTGGGGGGATGGGCTTTAGCATTCAGAGCAAGCATTTCACACAGAGGGAGAGCGAGGGGCCCGAGACCCTAGCAAGGGGGGTAGGCAGGGGTCCCCCCGCCCCACCCTTCCAGACAATCCATCAGGATCCTTTGCCAAGCACACAGCGCTTGGCTTTGAAAGGCGGCTTTGCCCAAAAGCTCTGGGCCTGGAAACCTCAGCCCCCTCCTCATCCACCCTCCCTCCCCCAAGATGTCATCTTTTGAGACGATTTCATGTGGAAGCATCGCTAAGTAAATTCGCTAAATGCCTATTCATCCCCGTCAGATGGGGACTCGGTGAAGCGGTAAATGTGAAAATGGCCCCAGCTCACAGCCCTGAAAGGCGCTTTCTGGGATTGCCAAATGGAACTGCAGCCGCTGACCCTGGGAGACCTGAGGCTTCACGAGAAGGGGGCCCAGGAGCCCCGGCCCGGCCCCTTCAATCCTCCCACTAAGGGTGTCTGAGAGACCTTATTTATTATTCCAACTGCCGGGGACCCATTCAGAGGTTAACTTGTCTCGTATTCATCAGGACAACAATAATGAACTGTTGCGGAGAGTGGTGAGGGGGTTGGTAAATAAGAGCTGTTAAAACGCAGTTGGAATGGGCCTCTTTATGGTTTGGAGAGAAACATTGCTTAAATTTTTTTATAGGCCGATTTAGTTTCCACCTCTCCCAGCGACTTATTAAAGAGGCTCTGTCCCCACAAACTACAGGTAACAGTGTCGGAGGCACCAGTGGACTTTACCTTGGCATGCACGATGGGGTTTAACCACGCGGGAGATGCACCATTGTAGGGACACGTGGGGTTAGCCCTTTGCGAGCATCCCCTGGGTTCACCTCTGTGCCCATCAGCAAGGTTTAGCTTTCCGTGTGTGTGCTGTATTCAACTCCCTGCAGACACACGGGGTGTTTCTGGTGCCTGCCGCTGCTAGAATGGCTGGTTTTGAATTGGTGTTTATTTCAGTAATAGGATGGGACACGAGCAGCGCTCATTTTCACTGCTGCCTCTCTTAACTGCTTTGTGCCCCCTCCGCTGGAATTATGAGTTGGTCAACATGAGTCATCCAATGAGAGAACAGGGGCTTGGAGTGGCGAGACTGCAGAGGCGCAGGGAAATGAAGGAGGGGGTGAGCAGTAGGGGCAGCTCAGACCAAAGAGTTGGGAGGCAGAGCAGGACGACGTGCATTGATTGTGCCCCTACTGTGTGCCCTTTAAATCCACCCAGTTGTCCATTCAGTATATATGCATGATGGGCCTACTAGGTGCTGGGCATGTTTAATTTTCAACCTAGGCGCATTCAGAGAAAGCTGCCATTCAGTGAGGTTAAATGACATCCTTGGACACACAGCTGACTCAGTCATGGAGCTGGGATCTGTCCCCAGATCTTTCTGTTTCTGCCCAAGCATTGCTTTCTAAAGCACTGTCCTGCTTCTCGAAGGTCTAGCTTCTATTATAACCCCAGAGATGTTTTTTTATCTTTCTGCTCTCTTCTCTGTTCCTCCCATTTGAAACAATAGTTAACGCTTTCCTTTGAAGTAAAAATTCCGAAGCAGAGAAGGCTGGTGATAAAGGAGCTGTCACATCAGCACCATTTACCTGTTTGGGTTTATTCAGCAGAAGAGGCGACTGCGTTTCTGGCAGATGGAGACCCGTGTGACTGCCTTTTAAAATACTGTCACAGCTGTATGCGCAAGCGGATTAGCTGTGATTACACTGCTAGTGCTGAGATTGATGGGGATAAATTTGGGATAACAATGCTGGCAACGATGTCACTCGTTTGTATTGGACTTCATATTTTTTAAAGCTCTCTCAATCAGTAGCCCCGTGGTTATCGAGGACTTGGTATCCGTCCATTCATTGATGCATTCATTGCTCAAAGTGCATTTGAAGGAGTCAGTTTGAACACACATCACTTTGATTCATTTGTTTATTCAACAAATATTAATATAGCTCCTACTGTATGCCAGTGTTGAACAAATCCAGCTGGGCTCTGTCCTCGTGGAACTTACATTCTAATGTAAGCAAGGTCAGTGCTTTCAGCTGGTGATACAAGAGTGAAGTATTATAAACAGAGTGATGTAATAAAGGTGGGGAGAGAGCGGGAGGCAGGTACTACTTTAGGTTAAGTGGTCAGAAAAGGTCTCTCTAAAGAGGTGGTATTTGAAAGGACACCTGATGACAAAGCCAAGCCAGCAATACTGGGAGAAATTTCCCAGGCAAGCAAATGCAAAGGTCCTGAGGTTGCTGTGCATTTAGCTTTGGGCTGACTTGCTGTTTGCCAAGCCCAGTGCCAGGCACTGGAGATTCCCAAACATGTGGAGCACCACACTTGCCCTCACAGAGTCTCCAGTATATTGGAGTATAGAGGAGAGAAATGCACAAACAGCCCATTTTAACATAGTGTGATAGAGTCAGTGATGGTGACATAAAAATGGCGATATAAAGAGGATGCCTTATCAGCCTGTGTGCAAATGATCAGAGAAGGTGCTTCAAGCAGACTGACATAATTGGTGAAACTTGCTTTCTGTGACAAAGACAGTACCCACGGTGTCTGGCCTGACTCTCCCCTTGGTTTGTTTCCACAGGACAAATGACCAGTTGGTGGCGTTTCTCTCCC